>NC_000011.10:102930000-103233030 GCF_000001405.40 Homo sapiens
TCATCACCCTCTCCTTCTCAATCCTCTGGATTGTATTACATTTACTGGAACTGGAGCTTCATGGCAAAACAGATTTTCCAAAATGGTTAATAAATTACATATATTACCACATGAAAGGCAAGGAAGGCTGTGAGTGAGTAATAATGTCTAGGTTACTAATTAAACATGTGCTTGCTTTAAAGCTTTTCTCTGTAATAAGGTTTATTACAGTATAATTGATTTTCCTTTCCCACAAGTTAATCATTTTAAAACCACAAATGAACTACAAGATTCAGCTTGTTCCAGGGCTGTATTTTCCCTGTCTAGTTTGTACTGGCTTAGACATCATGTAATGACAGAAGTCTTTTTCTAAATTTATTGGTACAACACCTTAAAGATCCTAATTCCAAAGTCAAAAGGTTTTGAAGAAACAGATTTTAAAGAACTACCAAAAACTGAAGAAAGGGACAAAATATTTATTAGTCTAGAAAATCTGAAAGATGCTTTTCTATATAATAAATGAGTTCTAAATATGCCATATGAACTTGCTGTGCCTCTATTCCTTCCTGTTAGTGTTTGTTACTTTATGATTCCTTCAGTTTAAATGTGAGGAGGTATAAGTGAATTCATTCAGAGATGATTTGAACAATAACTTCCAGTGATGCAAGCCAAACTCCCCATTGCTTAGCACTTAGCCTTTGGAGATCTTAGAAGATAGTAGGAATGTAAGAAGGAAGGAAGGATGGAAGGAAGGAAGGAAGGGAGGGAGGAAGGAAGGAAGGAAGGAAGGAAGGAAGGAAGGAAAGGGAGGGAGGGGAGGAAAGAAGGAAAAAAGGGAAGGAGGGAGAGGGAGCTGGGATCTAGGAATAACCAATAATACTTCATGTTAATACATACTTTATCATTTACATGTTTCAAGGATGCTATTTTATATAATCTTTAGAGCAACCTGTGAGGTAGGCAAGGCAAGTATTTCTATCTTCATTTTAATGCACAAGAATGTGAAATACAGAGGTGCTTGAAAGTGCTAGAGCTCAAATTCAAACTTTGATATTTTATTTTTTTGGCATTACTGTGCTGCATTATCACATTTGACAGCTGTGCTGCTGTGGCCAAAACACCAAAAGAAATTCTGGGTATCTCCAGAGAGGGAATTTAAATGTGTATCTTTGGGTCTGCAGAGGCTGTGGGACCACCTCTAGTCTTGGGCTGTCGATCTTCCAGTCGCTGTGCTCTAGGGCTCATGTGCTCTTATTGTGGTCCATGCTGCAGGAAAATAGGACTAGGTGGATGTAATAGCTCCCCTGATGAGCACACACATACACACACGCTCCAGACAGCATATTCCACTTCTGCACTGTTTAATGTGTACTCATTTGGGGTGGGAGGCACATCTCCCAAGTGCCCTTTGGGCACAGCAGTTTGTAGCAGGGTGAATAGCTGCAGAATATGCAGTCTTTTCTTTCTCTTATTCCATTCCAAGGCCCCTTATTTCCTCCCATTTCTCTTCCCTTTCTCCTTGCACACTGTAATCAGCTTCTGTTGTCTAAACCCTCCTCTAAGCCAGTGACCAGCATTTCATACACAGGGGTGTTTCTGAGTCAGAATAAGACCATGAACCTGGGAAGCTTTGTAGCCAACATGACTCTCACCAAAGCAGAAAACCTGCTAGATTCATTCAAGGTCCTACAGCCAGCCCTGGCCTGCGGGTGATCATCACAGTCACCTCGTCACCATAGCTCAGGTACAGGAACCATCACAACGGGGACTGCCAGCCTGGGAGGGCATGCCAAAGTCGCTATCCTTTGTCACAGGTAAAAGATGAAACTACTCAGTGCCACACAGATAAAATGAGTCTCTGTCTTAACAGAGCGGTTGTCTAGGGATTGTAGTAGAACTATACTACCTCGGAGAGAAGCTACACGGGGAGTCACTGGAATACTGGAAGTTTTTGCACTTTCATTGAGGGTAAGAAGGGAGACCCAATTAATTTCAGGGGCCTGTTATTTCCCAGACTACTCTGCCCTTGGTCACCAAGTATGTTGCCAGTGGTCAGCAACCATGAGAATGTACCTACTTTGCCATGGGAATGATGTGTAACCCTAGGTGGTAAAATTATATAGATCAAATAATCTGATATCTTGCAACTCTAACCTGCCAGTCAATTTATATGATGAACTAAATATGTCCTGCTACTTTTAATTTTTTTTTCTTTTGAAGTGTCTTTTGTATGTTATTCTGGCACTTTTTACTTAAACTTCTCACATGAGTGGCTTGGCTCAGTTTTAAACCTAAACCTAATTTTAGTTCCTCCCTGAGAAATATACCAACAACCTCAGTAATCAGAATTGACTTGCTATATACACAGTATTGCTATCCCTAGTGAATTAGGAAGGAATGAACAAAAACTCAGAGTTAAATTTTATTTTAAGAAATTTGGACGACAGTTTTATTAATGGTAGCTTGCCCACCTCCTGAGAGCTCCAGCTATGGGAATTAGCCTAGAGGGGATATACAGAGAGCCTTCTCAAACTTGACTCAATTCTGATGATTGTGATTTCATGTTCAGTAACATACATTCAGCTGGTATAAAACTATGCTTCTACAGGGTGTGTTTTTACCCCCAGGTCCAAAGTCTTAATCCTTCTTCACTAAGTAAAGAATCATCAATGACTATACCACTGAAGGGAACACCTTAAAGTATCTTCTTCCTTTTCTCGAGGAGGAATTGGGAGTTGATAGCATCAACTGTCAGTTACTACTGGAGCTGGCAGAGAGATATGAACATATCCTCCGGATAGCGTGAGACACGTTTCAGTGATCTAAGGGTATGGCCATGTCGATGTGCTGTCTGTGGAATGACTACATACACTCCACGTGGTTTTAAAAGAATGGGTTAAGGCTCAAGAGGATTTGGTGTTTTCAGCAACTCTATGAATCCTCAGAGTTGATTCAATTACTGATGTAGAAATAAAGGCAGGCATATGTTTGGAAAAAATGACTACCTTGTACTTCAGCTGACTGGGTCATATGGCATGGCCAAGTTGTGTAAGTATGGGAGTAAATAGGTTCAGGGAAGCATTGGATGTCGACACTTTTTGTCTGTGCCCACTTGAGGATCCAGCAAGATTTTAGTCTCAGATGTTTTATGTCCCAAGTACAGTGCTTCCATCATCCCATCTGGTCTTCACCTTTCCCTGAGAGAAATTCCTGATGACTGGCTAATATTCTTTGTATTTTAGAAACCACTGGGTCGTTCCCCCTTGGCTTTGTATATGCTCAGGAAATACAGATGAATTTTAAAACTAGCCTAACTAAGATATCTAGTAAAAGAAAAACTGTTTCCTCAAACAAAGCTTAAACTTTATTCTGTGGACCAATAATAATGCATCTTTTCTTGGGCATTTGTTCCTGTTTCCTAAGCCACCATATTCCCATGCCAATAATCACCATTAGTGTGGATAGTTCAGTAGTTGGCTAAAAGGTCGAATGGTCTTCACAAAGGGCAGAAGGATCTTCTGATTCCACCACCCATCGAGGAAGGACCCTCTGTTTGTCCAGAACCAAATGAAGGGAGGCAAGACTTATTAGTTGCAAATAAAAAAAACCATGATTCATGTTTTTAGTTTTAATTCTAGATTTTTTTTTGAATTTTTAAAACAGAACTTTATGTCCTCAAAAATACACAGTAGATATACGAACACTTAATTATTTGACTAAACTGAGAAGTGGCCCTGAGGTTGTACAGACAGAGGAAGTACTTGAGGACCACTGCTGTAAACCTGAAAGAATGACTTCAGATACTGGTGTTGAGGGTGAGGTTTGTGTGTGATTTCGTGAGACCTCTCACCCATACCTCTACCACACATGACCCACTTTTACCGCCATCTTCAGGATTGAGGAAGTAGCAGCTATGACTTACTGAGCACTTGCTATGTGCCAAGGAGTCTGCTAAGTGCTGTAGATCCATTCTTTCAGTTTAGTGCATAGTTCTAGAGGTAGAATGGCTGGGTTCAAATCCCAGTTCTTCCACATACTGGTTGTGTGACCTAGGGCAAGTCTCTTCACCTCTCTGTGCTTTCTTCCTCACTCATAAGAACAAAAATAGAACTTTTGTGACAATAAGTTAATTAATGTATGTGAAGCATGTAAACATCCCTGGCACATAGAAAAGTATACATGTTTGTTACTATTATCAGCCATATTTTAGAAACTGAGACTTGGAGGGGCTACTTAGTTTCTTCAGTGTTTCACATCATTCTTCTGGGAGCAGGTTAAGAACTGCCTTGAGGCTGATTTACATAATGTTTTATAGATAATTTATTGTCTGTATTATCACATTGGCTCCAATTTCTTTACTGCAGCCACCCAGGACCATCCTCATCATCAAACCAATACTCCTGGCTAGGTGTGGTGGCTCACACCTGTAATCTCAGCACTTTGGGAGGCTGAGGCGGGTGGATCACTTGAGCTCAGGAGTTCAAGACAAACCTGACCAAAATGGTGAAACCCCATTTCTACTAAAAAGACAAAAATTAGCCGGTCACAGTGGCATGCGCCTGTAGTCCCAGCTACTCGGGAGGCTGAGGCAGGAGAATGCTTGAACCTGGAAGGCGGAGGTTGCAGTGAGCCGAGATCGCGCCACTGCACTCCAGCGTGGGTGACAGAGCAAGACTCCATCCCCACCCCCAAAAAATAAAAATAAAGAATAAAGAATAAAAAAATAAAATCCAATACTCCTGAAGGTGGAGACTTCAGATTCCAACAGCTTTGTGTTTTCCTCCAACAACTCCTCCACGTTCCTCATTTTGAAAGGAAATAGAAGTGTTGGTAGGCTGGAGTGGTGAAAAGGGCAAAGGAGCAGGACTGTTGTCGAGAGGTCTGGGGTAGATTTAGAATACAGTGAGACAAAAGGAGGCTATTAGATTTAGAAAAGGTGACAGCGCCACCCTGTATTTGGGCCTGCTTTGCTCTCCCCAGGCTGCAGTTCTCTGCAGGTTCAGGGATGTGCCTTCAGATGCCTGTACCCACCCATTTCCTATACTGTCCCTTTCTGTAGCTACGGGTAGCTACTGAGCACTGGAAATGTGGCTGGTCAGAATTCAGATATGCTGTTAAGGATGAAACACACACCAGATTTTGAAGACTTTATGTGAGAAACAGGAGGTAAAACCATCTTTTTAAAAAATCTTCATTAGCTGAGCATGGTGGCTCACGCCTGTAATCCCGGGACTTTGGGAGGCCAAGGCAGGTGGATCACCTGAGGTCAGGAGTTCGAGGCCAGCCTGGCCAACATGGTGAAACCCCATCTCTACTAAAAATACAAAAATTAGCTGGGTGTGATAGTGCACACCTGTAATCCCAGCTATTCAGGAGGCTGAGGCAGAAGAATCGCTTGAACCCAGGAGGTGGAGGTTGCAGTGAGCCGAGATCATGCCACTGTACTCCAGCCTGGGTGACAGAATGAGACTCTGTCTCAAAAAAAAAAAAAAGATAAAATATATCATTTAAGTTCATTTTACCTATTCCTTTTTACTGCTTTTAATGTGGTCACTAGAAAATGTAGACTTCTGCATGTGACTTGTGCTATAGTTCTCTTAGACAGGGCTGCTCTAGACCACAGGTCCCCTGAATTTCCTACTTCCAACGCCTCAGTGGGCCTCTTCCACAGGCTCATTCTCCCAAGGGTGGAACCCCTCAATGATGTGCACACCCCTAGTGGTGGCCAATGGACTACCGGGTCAGCAGATGTGGAGGGACCTATAGGTGGCATGTCCATACCCTTGCACCTAAAGTCCCTTGCAATGCAGAGCAAAGCCAGGGATCGGAAGAGAAGAACCAGCCCAGAGGAGGGGCCTCATAAGTGTCAGGGACAGACCTGGACTCTGGTAAAGGTGGCCTTGAGGAGGTCAAAGAACATGTATTGTTGCAGGAGATGACAGTGAGGGAGCTGGAAGAATAAAGGTTGGGATTGGCATTTATTCTGACAATGTCTCAAGCAACGCTATAGGGTGTGCACTCATGTGAGTGGGGGTGCAGGTCTTTGCAGTTGACAGCTATTTTTGGGGTGGGGGAAGAGCGAGATGGAGTCTCGCTCTTGTCAGCCAGGCTGGAGTACAATGACATGATCTCAGCTCACTGCAACCTCTGCCTCCTTGGTTCAAGTGATTCTCCTGCCTCAGCCTCCTGAGCAGCTGGGATTACAGGTGCCACCATCATTCCCAGCTTATTTTTGTATTTTTATTAGAGACAGGGTTTCTACTAAACCCATGTTGGCCAGACTGGTCTCAAACTCCTGCAGGCAATCCACCTGCCTCAGCCTTTCAAATGTCTGGGATTATAGGCATGAACCACCATGCCCGGCTGACAGCTATTTTCTTTCTGAAGAAAGAAGTCAACTTTATGGCTAAAGGCAAAAGGGAGAGGAAAACTATAAGCTGTGTGAAATAGTGTAAAATGTAAGATTGTTGTATGTATTTGTCTCAATATTTATGTCTTCACTAAAGGCAGAGGCCAGCCTCTCATCCATAAATAGTGGGACACAACCTCTGGCAGGAACCAGAACTTGAGCCCCTCACGTCAACCAAACGGAAAGAAGGTAGGCACAATAGCAGGTGCCTGTAGTCCCAACTACTCAAGAGACTGAGGGCAGGAGGTTTGCTTGAGCCCAGGTGTTCGAGGCTGTAGCGCATAATGATTGCATCTGTGAATAGCCATGACACTCTAGCCTGGGCAACATAGCAAGATTCCTGTCTGTAAAAAAAAAGTATCCACTGGGAAAAGAGTATTTAAAAAGCAGAGACTCTAATATCCCACATCTATAAGGAACATAAACCAATTTACAAGCAAAAACCAAACAACCCCATTAAAAGGTGAGCAAAGAACACAAACACTTTTGAAAAGAAGACATGTATGCAGGCAAGAAGTATATGAAAATAGCTCAATATCACTAATCATTAGAGAAATGCAAATCAAACCACAGTGAGATACCATCTCACATCAGTAAGAATGGCTATCAGCAAAATGTCAGAAAATAACAGATGCTGGCAAGGTTGTGGAGAAAAGGAAACACTTATACACTGTGGGTGGGAGTGCGAATTCATTCAACCATTGTGGAAAGCAGTTTGGCAATTCTCAGAGAATTAAAAACAGAACTACCGTTTGACCCCAAAATCTCATTACTGGGTATATACCCAAATGAATATAAATCATTCTACCACAAAGACAAAGGCACACATTATGTTCATTGCAGCACCAGTCACTATTGCAAAGACATGAAATCAACCTAAATGCCCAGCAGTGGTAGATTGGATAAAGAAAATGTGGTACGTATACACCGTGGAATACTATGCAGCCATAAAAAAGAACAAACTCATGTCCTTTGCAGGAATATGGTTGGAGTTGGAGGCCATTATCCTTAGCAAATGAACGAACACAGGAACCAAAAAACAAATACCATATGTTCTCCTTATAAGTGGGAGCTAAATGATGAGAACACACGGACACAAAAAGGGGAACAACAGACACTGGGGCCTACTTGAGGGAGGAGGGTGGGAGGAGGGAGAGGATCAGAAAAGGTAACTGTTGGGTACTAAGCTTAGTACCCAGGTGACTAAATAATCTGAACAAACCCCCGTGAGACAAGTTTACCTATACAACAAACCTGCACATGTACCCTTGAATCTAAGATAAGAGTTAAAAATAAAATAAAAATAAAAAGCCGAGACTCTGGCATAGAGGATAATGGAGAGATCCAGTTTTCTATGCTGTAGCAAAAGTGGGGACTCAGTCTTGGGGAAAACACAGAAACCCAGTTTTCAAAACTAGATACAAAGTCAAAGTTGTTCTGGCAAGGATTTTTCATTGAGCTGCAGACACCTGAGTTTCAACTCCCTCAATCTCTTTTGACTAAGGTCAGTCATGGTCAAGCAGCCTCAGCAGTGGGGAGAAGATGGTCAGCAAAGGCTGAGCATCCAAGATAATATAGAGACATCAGCTCAGCTTCCCTTGACTCTGGGACATGGATGCCATCAGGCTAGTGGTATCATTCCAGTAGAATTACATTTCATGCCCCCTGATAGACAATCTGTGCCCTGGCCTGTGGAAGAGAGTAGAGGAGTTAACAAGATAGAAGGAGAAAAGTGGATGATGTTTGTGGCCTAGTCTTCAGCATTATTGTATGCTCTTGAAAGGATCATTTCCTCTCTCTTGGCCCCAGATTTTTATTTGTAAACTGAAGGAATTGAAATCAGATGATCTAATACGTTTCTCTAAATTTTTGTATCTTATGTAAACACAGGACACACAATATTGCCATATTTCTCTAGTCCCCAAAGCTGCCCCATTGAAAGATTTCAGGAAATGTTTTAAAAGTAAATACCAAGTAGAAGCATATTTCATATACAGAGTGTACAGTGCATTTCTCATAAAATAGCTCTGAGCCCTTAATTCATATTCCAGTTAATCCCACATAATGCCTGGGTAATTTTTGTTGCCAAGTATCTGACTTCCATTACGATGACTGCAAAATATTGCCCATTATTTCACTTCCTTGAGATTCTGCTTCCTTAACCTGTATCTTATCTTGCTGTTATTCAAACCATAAAACAATTTAGATGTTTCCTATGAAATTAGGAATGCAAGTATTTAGGAGATATCTTATTTATTAAGGGATAAAGCCTTATAAATGGGTTCAGAAAAGGATGTGGCTGGAGGCACAGTTGATGCTGTGTCCCAGCCCTCTGCTCAGCTCACAATACTCAGAACTAGAGTTGGCCAAAAACTGAGCCAGCACTAGTGTACACATTGTACCCCATGTGCTCAGAAACACAACTCAGACTTCTTTTTCCTTGCGTTGTTTTGGAAGCAAATCCACAAGGCCCTGAGCACTCACTGAGCCGAGGCACGAGCTGGCCAAAGGATACAACCCAGAAAGGCAGATGCTCTTAACTCCAGAATACAACACTCCTTTTTAGATAGAATTGGAAGGGCCTCATGAATGGTTTTGCTTGTGACCTGTACAGGCTTTTAGTGCCCAGTCTAATAAAGGAAAGAGAAGATTGTCCAGAAAAGGAAGGCTATTGGTATATGTAACCATTTTAAAACAAGTAAACAAAAAATAAATAAACCTTTTTAGTTGCTAATTTTACATATTTTTGGCGCAAGAGATGGGACACAGATAAGCACAAAAGATGGAACACAGATAAGGATGCTTGTGCAATGTCCTTTAATCCTGCATAAATTATGAAAAAAGAGTGTCACTATCTTCACTTATAAAAAACTGTAAGGCATAACAGGTGGATTTGGATAGTAAGTCCAGTTTCATTGCAATCAAAATTTAAGAGACAGAATTCTCTCAATATCGTGTACGTACAATTGTTCCTTGCCCAGTTGATGTGTGATGACGTTATTGAATGAGTAATTCTAGAGTGGGTTACAATGAATTTTGCATATACTTGTATGTGTTTCTCCATGTGTGTACAACTCAGATAGCATTTATGCAATAGAATTTTACCTATTCGGGCTCATGTATGAAAGAGAAATTTTCCTTCTCACAGAACCTAATTTTAGGGTATAGTTTTGTTACAGGAAAGGGGTCCCGATCCAGACCCCAAGAGAGGGTCCTTGGATCTCACGCAAGAAAGAATTCAGGGTGAGTCTGCAGTGCAAAGTAAAAGCAAGTTTATTAAGAAAGTAAAGGAATAAAAGAATGGCTACTCCATAGAGCAGTCCCAAGGGCTTCTGGTTGCCCATTTATATGGTTATTTCTTGCTGATATGCTAAACAAGGGGTGGATTATTCATGCCTCCCCTTTTTAGACCACATAGGGTAACTTCCTGATGTTGCCATGGCATTTGTAAACTGTCACGGCGCTGGTGGGAGTGTAGCAGTGAGGATGACCAGAGGTCACTCTCATCGCCATTTTGGTTTTGGTGGGTTTTAGCCAGCTCCTTTACTGCAATCTGTTTTATCAGCAAGGTCTTTATGACCTGTATTTTGTGCCGACCTCCTATCTCATCCTGTGACGTAGAAGACCTTAACGGTCTGGGAATGCAGCCCAGTAGATTTCAGCGTTGTTTTACCCAGCTCCTATTTAAGATGGAGTTGCTCTGGTTCACACACCTCTGGCAGTTTTGGCAATTCAGGTCAATTAAGACATCATGATAAACTCTTACAAAAATGGCCATGCTGTTGCTATAAACTCAGCACATTTTTTATTTTCCAGAGATCATTATTAGCTGCAGTTCAATCTGAGTGTCTTGTAAGCAGTGAGGTAGAACAAAATCAAGGAGTCTTAAATCAGCATTTCGCATACTTCAATATACCAGGCAGATAAAAGTCCAAAAAATTAGAAAAACTAAACCATGTGAGAAAGAAACTTCGGAAACTGTAAAGCCTTTCTTCCTCTAAACTCGCCATTGTCCTCAGGTAATAAGCAATTGTTCACTTTTTTGGTTGGTAATCTCAACCTCCCGGATTCAAGCGATTCTCCTGCCTCAGCCTCCCAAGTAGCTGGGATTACAGGTGCCCGCCACCACGCCTGGCTAATTTTTGTATTTTTAGTAGAGACGGGGTTTCACCATGTTGGTCAGGCTGGTCTCCAACTCCTGACCTCAGGTGATCCACCTGTCTCAGCCTCCAGAAGTGCTGGGATTACACGCGTGAGCCACCGTGCCCGGCCCACTTTTTTATTTAGAAAACAAAATTTATCATGCCTGGTAGTTTGGGTTTTCCTCCCTCTTGGTGCCAGAACAGTGCTGGTTTGTTTTCTCTTTGGAGTGCTGATTCTATTGGTTGTGTAGATTGTGCATTTTGTAGTTCACGTTGGAGTCTGTCACCCAGGGGCCTGAGATGACTCACAAGCCCTAGCTCTAAGGGGTGCATGCTTCAGGTCTTGGTGGCTTCATCAAGCCACCAAGTCAGGATGACACAGAATTCCGACTCACCTCTGAGAGATCAGTGAGGGGAACTCATATACAAAAACTAAGAAACCTGGAGCAAGCTGTTCTTGAATTCCATAGCTATTAAATCTTACTTGAAAGTCAGTAATGTAAAGTCAGGAGTTAAACAATCAGCGATGTGGCTAAGTTCCTCAACCTTATGTTAAAGAACAAAGCACTGGTTTTGTGACTTAATTGAATTCTCTGACCAGTTCAACCTTTTTAAAAAGGGTGTTGCTGGTGCCACCTAGTGGAAGTATTGTAAATCTCACAGCGTCGTGATGAATCCGTAAATCAAGGTATTTTCTGTGACCAGGGCTTAATCCACTCCTGTTGGCTCCGAGAAAACTGTGCGTGCAGAGAGCTGCACTTTTTTTTCTAAACGGGAAGTGAGTTAAACTTGGTAGCTTTTATGGTGGCTATCTTTCTGTTATATATGTTTTCGTGTTTTTATTCTGACATGAGGATATGGAAATCCAGGACAATATTTTTGCTTTAATACAAAAGTTCTCCCAGGATAATTCCAAGAGCAAAATTTGTTACACCAATATAAGATCTTGTCAGTTTCTCCTATTCCAAATACAAGTATGCTATTGGTTCACTTTGAGGAGTTTTTCAAACCTTTTACCCTTATTATCTGATGAAGAGGCCATTACTAGCTACAATTCAATTTTAAGGCAGTGCATTTGCCTAGTACATTAGCTCTAGGTAAATGCACTCTCACTTTAATTTGTGAATATAATATTACTTCTCATAAAACATTCATTTGGTCTTCTCAACCCCATTCGTGAATATCTATACAAACTGGCTATCTGTATTTTACCTGTAACCTATTTCATAGAAGATTCTATTAGGACCATCTGCTCAGTTCATAATCAGCTCTCTTTAATGCTACCCCTATCACCAGTGGTAAACTCCAAATAGACATTTGCTATAATTTGAATTCGATGCTTTGGTTACTGTGGAAGGACACTCATCAAGGTAACACCAATTGGATTTGGAATTTTGAATTGAGACTGGAGTAAAGGTGGAAGTCAGGAAACAATCTTGACTATATATATTTTCTATATACCTTTATGTATATCTTTATATCTATATATCTTTATGTATATCTGTCTGTCTGTCTGTCTATCCATGAGAGAGAAGTATCATGAAAGAAAATGGTTAAACATAGGGAAAATGTTTCTGAAATCAAGTGAAACATCTTTTCTATTTTTGTTTGTTTATTTTTTGAGACGGGGTCTCACTCTATCACCCAGGATGGAGTGCAGTGGTGTAAGCATAGCTAACTGCAGCCTCAACCTCCTGGGCTCAGGTGATCCTCTTGCCTCAGCCTACTGAGTAGCTGGGACCTGGCTTCTTCTCCTTCTCCTTCTTCTTCGACTAGGTCTTGCTCTGTCACCCAGGCTGGAGTGCAGTGGTGTGATCACATTTCACTGCAGCCTTGACCTCTCCCTGCCTCGTGTAGTCCTCCCACCTTAGCCTCCCTAGTAGCTGAGACTACAGGCACATACCACCACCCCCAGCTAATTTGTTTTTTTTTTGTTTTGTTTTGTTTTGTTTTTGTAGAGACTGTGTTTCACCATGGTGCCCAGGCTGATCTTGAAATCCTGGGCCCAAACAATTGGTCTCCCAAAGTGCTGGGAGTGCAAACATGAGCCACTGAACCTGGCCTAAACATCTTTTCTTAAAAAGAAAAAAAAAGAAGGGTCCAGTGCAGTGGCCCACACCTGTAATCCCAGGACTTTGGGAAGCTGAGGCAGGCAGATCACCTGAGATCAGGAATTCAAGACTACCTGGCCAATATGGTGAAACCCCATCTCTATTAAAAATACAAAAACTAGCCGGGCATGGTGGCGCTCACCTGTAATCCCAGCTACTTGGGAGGCTGAGGCAGGAGAATTGCCTGAACTCGGGAAGTGGAGGTTGCAGTGAGCTGGAATCACACCACTGCATTCAAGCCTGGGCAACTGAGAGAGACTCTGTCTCCAAAAATAAAAATATTGGCAATGAACCCTCTTTGGGTGAGGAAAGATTGAAATTATACCTAAAGACAATGTACCATATAGCAATTGTCTGTTGAAAATATATTTTTATTATAAACAACATAAACACTTCCTAATACACTTTGCAAATATGCATTTCATTTTCTTTGCCTGAGTTTTTATCAACAGTGTCTCTGAGCACAATAGTTCTTCCCTTGATGGCCGATCATATATTCAATAAGTGCCAAGCACCCTCCCCAAGTATCAATAGGCACTGTGGGAAGTGCTGGGGGATTTTTTTAAATGCAGAGAAAAAAAGGCATCCTTCCATATCTCAAGGGATCACAATCTAGTAGACTGCTTTAAAAAAAAATTTGGATGTCTCTTTTTTAATATACATACTTCCACTTTATAAGATATATTTTATTTCATGCTATACAAGTCTTTAGAAAATAGCCTATATATCCAAGACAAACTGGACAATTAAATAATTAGCTAGGTAAAATAGGGTTAAAATGCAACTTTTAGTCTTAAATAATCAAATAATTTATGAAAAAGGGATGCCATGGCCTTAGACTATTTTGATAACAATTTTAACTTTGTAATGTGTGACTTCTGAAGAACCTGAAATATTTTAATAAAAAGACATCATCCTTCTTTATCCTTTATAATATGCAAAGGAATATTTGTCTTATATGAGAGCAGACTTTGAGTCATTGCCAAAAGTGAAAATTAAACAGAATTCAAAGGCCACATCTACTATTCTTACCACTGCTCTTTTGTCTCCTGTCTTTAATGACTTTGATATTTCGTTAGTGTCTGTGTGAAGAAGGGCACATACATCTGAATATCCTCAGTGCAAAATGAAAATTATTTATTTGGAAGTTACAGTCTATTATTACAGACATTTTCCTTTGGTTTATTTCTTTTATGTATGGCTCTCCCAAATTTCCATTTTCATACTATTTTATACTTTTTAGTAAGAATGATTTATTCATTATATGCATGTATTTACTTTATGCCCTTGTAAAATTTCCTTATAAATATATTTTTAAATTATGCTCTCATTGACAGACCATGTGTCCCATTTGTGGTGTGGGAAGTATCATCAACCATTGCTTTTGTACAGCAACAAGAATCAGATGCTCTTTAGAGATCCTCCATTTCATTACTCTAACATTCTTCAATGTGGTTCCAGCCACGCATAGTCATATAGATACTACATATTCAAAGATAACTTACTGAAGCTTGTTCACAGAACCAAGCTTTCTCCTGATAGCTCTTCTTCCCCTACCCCGCACTTCTGGAAGTATTACCCCAAATGCTCTTCAGGATTTAAATAACAATTTTTAAAAAGACACTTAACACCACAAAATGGAATTTGCTGGCATGACGCGAACAATACGGTTACTCCAGATGCTGTATTCAAACTGTATGGGTCCGTTGAAAAAATAGATATAACCTATAAGAAAAAGCATAAAGACAATTTCAGAGTTTGAAAATAATAAGGTTTTAATCCAGTTAATATTAATGGTTCAATCTCTTAGATCCCATTTGTAGGAATTTCAAACTTTTTCTTTTTAAACTCTATTAGTTCTTTAATAGTTGTTCCTTTTTAAATTTTTTATTTTTTTATTTTTATTTTTTAGTTGTTCTTTTAAGGTGTGAATCCTCCTACACAGTTTTGCTACTTGGATTATCGATTTTTGTGTGCGTATATGAGACAGAGTCTCACTCTGTCATCCAGGCTAGAGTGCAGTGGCAGTGATCTTGGCTCACTGCAACCTCTGACTCCTAAGTTCAAGTGATTCTCCTGCCTCAGCCTCCTGACTAGCTGGGATTACAGGTGCATGCCACCACTCCCAGCTTTTTTTTTTTTTTTTTTTTTGGATTTTTAGTAGAGATGGGGTTTCGCCATGTTGGTCAGGCTGGTCTTGAACTCCTGACCTCAAGTGATCCGCCCACCTCAGCTTCCCAAAGTGCTCAGATTGCAGGCATGAGCCACCGCACCCAGCCTATTTGTTATAAGTTATCAATAATATCTCTTTTCATAGTTAAAGGAGGTCGGTGAGGTCAGGCCTGTAATCTGAGCACTTTGGGAGGCCGAGGCGGGTGAATCGCTTGAGGCCAGGAGTTCAAGACCAGCCTAGCCAACATGGCGAAACTCCATCTCTACTAAAAATGCAAAAATCAGCCAGGCATGGTGGCAGGCACCTGTAATCCCAGCTACTCCAGAGGCTGAGGCAGGAGAATCTCTTGAACCCAGGAGGCGGAGGTTGCAGCGAGCTCAGATTGCGACAATGAACTCCAGCCTGGGTGACAGAGTGAGACTCTGTCAAAAAAAAAAAAAAAGGTTGAGAACATAATTAAAGTAAAAAGTCACTATATAGTTAAGGTAGTTATGAGTCTTTATATATAAATTACTTCCCACTCCACAGCCAGTTTGAATTCTGGCAATATCCTTGCATTTTGGCATCTTTAAGCATAGATTAAGGTAATGTTGAAGGTTTAGCATCTCGTATTTATAGAATTAGCAATCATTAAGTAAAATTCTTATTTATTCTAACCATGTTTTTTTTGGTTTGCTGTCTTTGTAGGTAGTCACACAGGAACAATTAATTCCTTAACTGCCATACATTTATTAACACATCTAGGTCCTATATAAAAATGCTTTGTACAGAAAAGAGTTTTGAGGGGCTACAGAAGCTCCTCTTTAAAGTCAGTGCAATGTAACTACTTACCATTTTTCTCATAGACAGCATCTACTTTATCACCAATTCCTGGGAAGTCTTCTTCTATTAGTCTCGGATAGTCTTTATCCATAATATGGTTAGTATCATCATATCTATTTAAAGAAAAAAAACTCCTAAGTCAGTTATATTTCTTAGAAAGTACCTTAGAAATAATACAATAGATACAATGGCATCTTTCAAAATTGACAAGAATTTTAAAATTTTCAGTCCATTTAAAGCATCTGGTAGCTTTTTAAAATTAGGAATGAGAATACTGAGTGTACAGTGGATGCTTGACGAGTATTTGTTGACTTGCCCAAAGGCCATCTTTTTAAAGAGAGTTACAAGCTCATTTCCATTTCACAAATGATATATCTGTTATAAAAGTATGTCATTAGGAACATGTTCTTAAGCATGAAATAAATGCATGTTTGTGCATAGAACAATTAGCTGTTGATCTCTCACTATGTGTAAGACAACTTGCACTTACTTGCACTTACTTAGTGTACAGTAATGGCTACAAAAATATTTAAGGTTTAATTTCTGTACTAAAAAGTTGTAGGGGCATATGGTAATACTAAAGGTAGGAAGGGAAGCATAGCTTTCCCCCTCCATAACTGCATATTTCAAGCTCCTTCTCCCCTGCCCACAGCCACACCCTAACCAGGCAAACATATCCTAAAATTAACCTAGGAAAACAGGCTCCCATAAGGTGCCACTACTGTTACTGATGAGAGCTTTTTGAATATCTTGGAGGTATGTTCCAACAAGTAAAAGATAAGAACCACTAAACTACCAATAAAGCTAAGGCATGTGTATACACATAACTGCAACGCCAGGCAATAGAAGTCAAGCATGAGAGAGTAATCATGAAATGTCATGGGAGTACAGGAAGCCGGGCAATAACCCCTGAATGGGGAAATCAAAAGAGGCTTTGTAGATGAAAAGATATTTCGAATGAACTTTAAACAATGGATAGAATTTCAAGAGGGAGAGATGCAGGGAAGGATCTTCTGGCAAAAAAAAATTGCCTAAGAGAAGCTTAAGGGGATATAAAAAACAGCATATCTGAGATGCAGTAAGCAATTAATCCTGACTGAACAATATACTTCTTATGGAGGTAGGGAATGAAATGCGGTACCTGGTAGAAGCTGGCAGTGATTTCTAGAATGTTGTAAATGTCATTGTCAGAAATAAGTCAAAAGGCAAAGATGATATATACAGGTATGTGCGTGTGTGCGGGTATGCATGTGTGTGTGTGAGACTGTGTGTATGTAGAGATGGAGGAAAGTTTCCACTTTAAACATTTAGAATGTAGGGTACTGATGAGATATTCCCATTCCCAAATATAGACTTGAATCTGGACTCTTAAATGTTGTTGATGTCAATGCTGCCTAAATCTTTACATGTGTTTTAAACATTCCAGCTTCACTCGCCCTTCAGAAAGTTTCACTTTATAAACTATGGGCCTGTCAGCTTCCTGGTCAACCTCTCCAGTGGATCAGCTAACTCTGCAGATAGGAGGGCCTTCTCTAAACCAATCTTTTCCTGTACTCATGCTGGTATCCTCTTTGGCCACGGAAGATGGAGCTACATGTAAATTAGGAGAAAGTGACAAGAAAGAGAATACAGGAGAAAGATTAGAAAGAGAAGGTGCCAATTGGGTGTGGTGGCTCACGACTGTAATTCCACCATTTTGGGAGGCTGAGGCAGGTGGATTGCTGGAAGCCAGGAGCCTGACCAGTGTGGCAAAACCCCGTCTCTACTAAAAATACAAAAATTAGTTGGGTGTAGTGGCACATGCCTGTAATCCCAGCTTCTTGGGAGACTGAGACACAAGACATGAGAATTGCTTCAATACAGGAGGCAGAGGTTACAGTGAGCCAAGATCATGCCACTACACTCAAGCCTGGATAACAGAGCAAGACTCAGTCTCAAAAAAAAAGAAAGAAAGAGGGGGTGCCAAAGATGGTTGAGAGGCACAACAAATGGCTAAGAAAAGAATGTTTGAGAAGAGGAATGTTTGAGTATTGTGTGTGTGTGTGTGTGTGTGTGTGTGTGTGTGTGTGTTCAAGAGAGCTTGAGACTTTTAAATACATGTCTGAGGGTCTGCCTGAAAGAGCTGACATGGAATGAAAATGAATGACTAGTATGACATTTACAATAGTGTGTAGGAATAATGTATAGTAGTGACAGATGTTTGAGGCACTTTGCGGCTATGACACAGATGGGTCAGTACCTACTGCTGCCATACCTCCAGACCTGGTTTCCTGAGAACAGGAGAGTCTTGCCTGTATCCTCAAAGTGAACAGCTGCACTTATCTTCTTAACTTCTTTTGGAAGACCCAGTTCAGATATTTTTTTGGGATAACCTTCCAGAATGTCATAACCATTAAGAGCCCAAAATTTTCTACCTGGAATGAGTGAAATAACAGTTCTATTATCCAAGGGAATCTATTAGGACTTACATATATAGACATGTGCTTAAAGACAGGCCCACTTTTACATTGAGAAATATTAATAAAATATTTAGTATTTACAGTCATCATGTTTATGAAACATAAAAATATAAGCATTCTTGAAACAAAAAAATAAAATTTAGGATCTTAACTTCCCAATTATGAATATAGCTAATCAAATATCACAGTTAACTTGGCAATTTATTAGCTCTGAATATTAAGTTTAAAGCTAGGTGGAAAAAATACATTAAAATTTGTACATGAACAAACAACACAGTAGGAAGAGTAAATTAGACTGAAAACTCAAACGTTACACCAGTTTGAAAGTTATTTTATTCTCTAAAAAGTAGCTTTATTATAACATTAATATTATAAATAGTTGAACAATACAAACAGTGTCAGCAGGAAGTTATGTAATCATTTTAAATTATGGTCATAAAGATAAAGTAGCAATTTGGAAATTGGTCATAATTTTATGTCAAGGAAAGCAGTAGAATATAAAAATGTATCTATACTATGAAAATAAATATGTAAAAATTTGTATTACATAATGAAAATGAGCAAATGAAATAAACTGAGTTTTCAGAAGGAAGAATGATTCATAATATTTTTTCCACTTTTTCAGAATATATTGGTATAATGTTTTCTCAATAAACAATTTTTAAGCAGAACTAAGAGAAAAAACTGACATGATTCATATGAAAGAAAGAGTGGATATGACAAGACTAATAATGTAGACCTTTTATATGTTCAATTTGGAGATTCATGGTAGAATGGTTTCAGGTACTTTCTGGCTTCCATTTTTTTAATACTTGGTCTTTAATTTAGGTATATTTTCAGTAGTGATCATTTTACTGAATCTCTAGTGGCATCAAATTCAGCACTGCCTCCCCTGGTCTTGTGTGAGGACTCCTCTGTGGAAAGCTTACCTCTGAAGATGAAGATGAGGTCATGAGAAGGGTGCTCATATGCAGCATCAATACGGTTGGGAAGTTCTGGCCAAAATGATTTCGTTAAAAACAGCTCCGCATCAACCTGCTGAGGATGCAGGCGCCAGAAGAATCTAACACAAAAGTAAAATGGAGTTTTCTGTCACATTTTTAAATGCAATATTTCTATCCTGCTAGTCACCTCTCTCCACATCAACACAGACAAGTTAGATACAACCAATACCTCCCACCTGTGAAGGGAAAAAAAATTCCATTACCCTTTAAGCGCCAGTGACAAGTTGTGCTATCCTAACTAGCGTAAGGTATTCAACTTTGAAATCTCACAGAGCCTGTGTGAGGTCTCTGAGTTCTTTGCAGGTTGAAACAGTCTTGCTCAATTTTGGGTATCTTGCCAGGGGCAAGCAAATGTGCCAGGCATTGTGTTGGCCTCCAGAGAGAAGATATGAGTTATATGAACTATGTCTTCCATGGTCTCATGGCCTGGGAAAACATACATGAGAAACACCCCCCGCCCCACGAGTACAATGTAATTAGAGTTATAACAGAGGGGATAAACATGCTATTGGATCACAGATGAGGGATCAATGAATGAATGAATAAACAAGCATACTGGAACAGTGTAGAAATTAAAATTTTATATTGCATTTCTGGGTTCATTTCATTTCATCCCTCAAATTCCAACATGTATCTAGAATCAAAGTCTTTCCATACCAAAACGAATCCGTGTGGGCCTAACGAGTAACCATTTATTAATACAGCAGTTACTTTCAATGCTTGTCTGTTTTTAAAACAAATGGGATTTCTAGATTTTCTTGGTTATATTTATAAGAAAGACTGTAACTAGAGATGTAAAAGGAAGCTACACAATGTCAAGGTTATACGTTGAAAAGTAAAACATTTATCCATCAGTCATTTATTTGATCTGAAATATGTAAATAAACTGCCTGCCCATTTTTACTGCTAACTTCGCCTTTGGAAGTCTGACAGGATGTTTTGGCAATATGCAGAAGCAGCTTCACAGATGTTTGTCGCATACAGACTTTATGAAAGAATCTCAAGAGTACCTGTCTTTAAAGATCATTGTTTCTCCTCGGAGACTGGTAATGGCATCAAGGGATAAGGAAGGGTCACATTTGTCTGGCGTTTTTGGATGTTTAGGGTTGGGGTCTTCATCTCCTGGACCTGTAGTCGTGAAAGGCAAGAGAGAAGTTATGAGTGTGACATTACTGATAACCTGAGTCACAGTACAACAGGCTGATCTGCTGATGGACAGTGGGAGAGGGTTTCTCCAGGAAAAGCTGTAGGTCCTGGGGCTCCTACATCATGGTGCAAGTACCGTGTAATCTTACTTCCTTCCTCCCCTCCACTTCCATCCTTCAAGACCTCTCGAGATTCTTTAGAAGTATAAACTTAGGTTTCTTGAGGTTGATGATAAAAAGGAGGGAAAAAAGCAACAGAATTTGAGAAATTTTCCCTACACCTTGCACAATCTATTGACAGATTGCTCTTGAAAACTAGATTCCCCTTAAAGCCATTTTTGATGGCGTATTTTTCCTGCAAAAGCCCTCATCTTGCCTCCTCCTCTTGACTATTTTACCAGCTGTCAACATCAGCTAATGTTGCTTCACCAGTTTGCCATGGTGCAGCTGTATCTCAGCTGTGACAAACCAGGCCTTCAGCACTTATGTGACTTGCGACATGTTGGTAAATTTCCAACCGTCTCCCATGAGTGCAGACAGGATGGGGGTGCAGTATATAATAATAATAATCCTACACTGTTTTTCTTTCTGTCTAGTTTTTATTAGTTCTTTCATCAGTCCCTGAGTCATAACAATGTAGAAATAATAATTGCAAAATAAATTTGCAAATTCCCTTTGCCATCTTCAAGTTCATGCCCATGGCTATGCTAGCTACTGTGATAGATTGAAATCTAGAGGGTAAAAGAATGGGTTGGATGCTATGAGCAAGTTTTCTGAGCTATGTGCTCTAGAAGTGTTTACACTGATGACTGTGTACTGTGGCTTTAACTCTATAACAGGTCATCTATAAATAAATACTTGGGTTGAAGTTTAATAATTTTGTAAATATTATTGAAAACTTGGGGGGGGAAGTGAAAAGGAAGAATTTTTTTTTTACAATGGTTACTGTAGATGTTGATTAAAAACTACCACAGGCCACTTGAGAGGTTTCTACTGTGCCAGATTGGACTGGTTGAAAGAGTACTTGGAATTTCTAAAAGCCTTAGGATCTCACTTTCACCACCAACCTTGTTACTATAGGTATGCTACTTAAACTCTACAGGGCTTTGTTTCTTCATTGGTTAAATGGGGAACAAAATATTTTTCTTTCTTATTGCAGAGGTGTTTGGAGGATATCAAATGCACATTGCAATGTATAAAGTACAAATACGAGGAGTTATAGTCTGCAAAAATTTGGAGAATGAAATCTTTTCTATTTGAGTGGGTAGTTAGATTTGGAAAGAAAAAATGGGTATGTTTTCCTAGGTTTTAACAACAAAACCAAGAAAGCAGCATTGGCAGTGGTGAATTCAATTAGTAGAGTCATGTGTTGCTTAACAACAGGGATACATTCTGAAAAATGTGTTGTTAGGAGATTTTGTCATTGGGTGAATATTGTAGCGTGTACTTACACAAACCTAGATATATAACCTACTACAGATATAGGCTATATGGAACAGCCCATGTCTCCTAGGCTAGAAACCTGTCCAGCATATTACTGTTCTGAGTACTGCAGGCACATGTAACACAATGGTGAGTATTAAGTGTATCTAAATATAAGAAAGGTACATTAAAAATACTGTATTACAGTATTATGAAACCTTTGTCATGCATGCGCTTCACTGTACCAAAACATTATTATGCAGCATGACTGCAATTTAGAAAATAAATGCATGGGTTTCTTCTGCTTTTATAACTGATCATATTCTATTTCTATAACCGAGTTACCATAGAGAGACTGGATCCCTTGTACATCGTCATCAGGAAGCATAAAGTGGCTTTTGCCGGTGTAGGTGTAGATAGGAAACATGAGTGCTCCAGGGTCCTTGGAGTGGTCAAGACCTAAGGAGTGGCCGAACTCATGCGCAGCAACAAGAAACAAGTTGTAGCCTGTAAGAAAACAAAGAAACAATGAGAAAAAAAGGAATTCCAGTGACCAGGTAATGAAAGGAATATCATTTTATCTATCTGGTATGTTTCTTTCTTGGCTATATACTTTCTTTTCTCTTTCTTCAGTCTCCTACTTTTTAAAATCAATATTCAGTTGCTTGAAGGAAGATTCAAAGTATTGATTTAATCCTTATAAATAATTTAGTGTTCTTTTGATTATAGCTGCCTACACAATTAGAATGTCAACAGATTACTCTCATGTAATTAGTAATTAATAAGGATTTACTGTGAATACATTAGAACTCCTGATTTGCGCTTAGTATTCTCAGGTCAGGTGAGGGAAGTGGACAGAGATTACCTTAAACGAGGAGTGGGGAAATCACATAGGGTGGTACCTAGCTAGGGTGCTGCCCAGAACATCCTCCAATCAGGAGGCAGCATCCAAAGGGATGGTACCAAGGATGGAGGATGCACTAAATAGGTTCTCTGTGTTTACTCTTGGGAGCAAATTCCAACCAAATGATTTTTTCCAGAATGTCTCTAGACTCTGGGTTCTGGAGAAACAGAAACTCTAGACATGATTAGCCATCTTTTCTCTACTCTAGAAGACTACTATGTCACTGTATTTACATTGTTCCCTCTAAGCATTCTGTCTGCCAATTTTGAGCCTCCTAATGCAGGTATTTCAAACTGGAAAAAAGAAAATAAAAAACTAAAAGAAAAATAAGAAGTGCAAGGCAATAGGATTGTTGTTACCTGTGCTTAGATTACCTGAAAACTAGAGCCAGTGGATTCCATTTGACCTTAAATACCCTCTGCTATTGTAGCCTGTGCATGAAGAAAATGAACCATCCTAGCAAACCTTGCAGACCATGAGAGCAATTAGAGGTCACATAATCTGAGTGTTAACTAATTCTTCACTGAATGACTAGTAATGGATACCCCTCTTGGCCTTCCACTGAAAAATGAATCCAGACTTGTTTGTGGATGTTTTTATTCACTTCAATTAAATATTTCAAACCCAGAATTTATAAAGGAACCTAAATTTGAGGCTTACTGTGATTCTACCTTAACAATGCTGGATATTATTTCTTCTTCCTGAAACCATTCTTACCTGTGAAATACCCAGAACATAAATATGTAAATTTTCACTTTTCCCTCCATAGACAGATTGGAGGTATTAGATTTGAGACACTGATCATGTAAGGCCCAGTTTTATTCTTTGGAGAAATAATCTTTTTTATTTAAATGAAAAATAAAACTCAGCTGTCTATGAAGACAACATCTACTTGTCATAACTAAGTCCTAGTTAGAACAATCTATGGCTTTTCTTCCTAAGTTAACATTCCCAATTATTTTGAGACTTGAAGATTTAACTACTAACTGATCTCATTCAACATTCAGTTTCATTTTGCTCTTGTAAATACAACCATCATCTTGTCTGTTTCATGCTGTTTGGAGTAAGAGTCTGTCTAGGTTTTTAAGAATAGTGTTTACAATATATAGACAAGACTGAATCAAGCAACTCATATAATGGGAAACAGAAATTTGATTGAACATATTTCTACCAAGCAAAAAACTATTTCAATTCACATCTAATTCATGTATGACCCATAGATCCAGCCCTGGTAGTTTTTAGTTAGATATTTCTAATAAACTGTACTTCCTCAACATGCCAAAAGGTAATTTGCAGTAATAACATGTTGGCTGACAGACATAAACATTTTGGTCCTACTTCAAAGTTCATTAGTATCCCTCAAGCCACAGTGACAGATTAAGTAGATTTTGTTCATTTTTTAATGTTGATATCAATTTGTAGAAATGTCACTTGTAGAGACACTAATACATCTAAGATAAACTTTATTTAAGAAAATATAGTCAAATACCAAATATATTTAACTTTTATGTGTTTTAACTTCATACTAGTGTGTTCACTGTCTAATCTAATAACACATAAATGATATCTTTATAAGAAACATTACCTTTGGAACTACTTGTCCAGGTTTCATCATCATCAAAATGGGCATCTCCTCCATAATTTGGCCCAGGAGGAAAAGCATGAGCCAGCAGGCCAGAGGGCCCATCAAATGGGTAGAAGTCGCCATGCTCTACACACAAAAGCAAGGGTTAGGAGTCTTATCACATCCAGGAGTACTTAGCACAGGTGTTTGGTAAATTAGTGTTGAATTCTTTAAAAAGTAATGAATGACTGAAATAAATAATTTTAAAATGGAACCAAGAATTAGAATATAAAAATGTTTGTAAAATAAATGTGCATCATTACCCTTAATTCCAAAAGAGATCATGATGTCAGCAATGCCATCGTGAAGTCTGGTAAAATTCAGAGGAGTTACATCGGACCAAACTTTGAAGGCTTTTTTGAATGCCTTTTCGACTTCAGAATGAGTCATATCAGGGGTGTAATTCACAATTCTATTTAACAGAGAAAGTTTCAATGAACTTTTTGGAAAGTGACAGCTATTTTAGAATACATTTTCTTGGTATATTGCTTTTCAATTCAAAATGCAATAATTTCTTTGAAAGTTCTACTAGAGGTTTATTGTTTCAAATAATGTATTAATTATGATGCCATACAAGAATAAAAAGTCAAAAATTCAGCCACATTTGAGTATCTCCAAATATCTGACCATGTGGCATCTTAAATTTAAAATATTCCAATGTTTAATATAATTTATTTTGCATGCTAAAAGTTTAGATTACATTGATAAAGCTCAAATAAATGAAATAGCTCTGTAAAGTTTCTAGAAAGAGTGGAACTCTTCATCTTGAGCACTGTTGTAATAAATACACCTAATGTACTATGTTTGCAAATTTTCTTTAACCTACTTTTATTTCTCTTTTGATTTCATCTCTAAAAGAAATACTTTGAGATGCCCACTAAAAAATAATGCTGAGTTAATGTAACAATAATAGATGTTATGAGGTATTCTCGGCAACCATATTAAAGCTATTCTGGAATTTAACTGCCAATTAAATAATAAGGCCTACTTAATATTAGACATTTAATACTACAAGAAAAGGCTAACAAATATGAAAGAAAGATAGCCTATGATTTACCTGTAGGTTAAATTCATTTTGGACCATTTAAGAGTTCGAGGGAAAACATTGTATTCACCCACATCAGGAACCCCGCATCTTGGCTTTTTCATGACATCTAAGGTGTTATCGTCAAGTTTGCCAGTCACCTCTAAGCCGAAGAAAGACTGCATTTCTCGGAGCCTCTCAGTCATGGAGCTTGCTGCATTCTCCTTCAGGATTCCCGCGAGATTTGTAGGATGGTAGTATGATCTCAGGTAGCGCTAGAAAAGACACCAAAATGAACTGCGTTTAAAAGAGAAGGACATTTCTGAGATGTACCAACCGCATCATCAGGATTGGCAAGATACTCTACCTCTGCAAACTGGAGGTCTTCCTCAGACAAATCATCTTCATCACCACCACTGGGAAGGGGCAGGGCCCGACAATGAGTCCAGCTCAAGAAGAGGAAGGCAGCCAGGACCCCTGGATGCATCTTGAATGGTGATGCCTGGGGACTGTTGTCTTTCCGCAGAGATTACCTTTACTTTTATAGGCCTGCAATGGTGAGTCATCACTTATGGATAGGTTTCCACTTCCCAGTCACTTGAAGGTAAACATGCTTACGTGGCGACTTTTTCTTTTCCCTCCCGAGTGTGGTTTGTGGTAGAATTTGAGGGAAATATAAATGAGAGCATCTCTTGTTTCAGCAGGGTCTCAAAACCCATCTGGCAAAATAAACGGCCTCAGCATATTTATGGATACTGTGGGAAGAAGCAGAGAGTAGTACATTTTTTACTTCACTTAGCAAAATTTTTTTTTTTTTGCCTTCTGTAAGAACGTATCTACTTTTGCTTCTTCGAATAATAAGTGTATCAAGATGGCATGTTTACTTCCATAAAGAGAAACTTAGTACTGATTCTAGAATGTTTACTACTGCCTGGTAAATTATAAACTGCATTTTCTCTAGAATAACTACAGAGAGATGTCTTGTGTCTACCTGAAGTTCACGATATTGGACCAAAACCAAGCTTGATGACTTGGAGGTGCTACGGCACAACCGCAGGATTGAGCCCCATGGTTGGAATTTAAACACACTGGCATGACCTCTCGACAAATATGGAGTCCTGCATAAATTCCCTACAGATTCAGACAGAGGTAGAAGAATTACATTGGAACGGAACAACTGTAATGGCTAGCACAAACAGGGATTACTGCATTCTAGGTTTAAAAGGCATTATCTCATTTAATCCTTACAACAGCCACATAGGTGCTGTCAGAAAGCTTGTTTTCCATTTTACATATGAATAATCTGATACACTGAGAAGTTAAATACTTGTATACGGTCATATAGTTTATAAATGATACCAGGATTTGAACCTAGGCCAATAACTCAAAACTCAATGTTCTTGACCACCGTCCCTGTCTAATTATGACCTCCACCCTTTCCATTCTCAGATATTTTCTTAAAAGCTGAGCTGTTTGGTTCCTACACCTCAGGGAGTGCCCAAGAAAACTAGGGCTGCAGTAGGCCAATTTCAAGTTTCTCAATTTTTAAGTTTGAATAATAGAAGTAATCTTGGTCCAACCATCAGGAAAATAGTCCTAGGGGCCTCTACCCTATTATTCCTTTCAGAACATCACACATTCAGTACCGTGAAATCAAAGTGCCATCTTTGGTCCCCTGCAGAAGTAAATGGGTAGAGCAATATAGGCCATGATCTTTGGATTTATTGGACTTCTTTAAATAAATGATTGGAAATGCAGGTTAATTTGAGTGACTAAGAGTCAGAAAGAAAATGCTGCTCAGGTCAGGAACATAGTAAGACAAAGAGAAGGAGCATGAATACAGCTTTAGGGTGAGTACGAAATGGGTATCCTAACATATGAGTAAAATCCTATAATCTAGAGTAGCCAGTGCCTTAGAGAAAAATCAGAAAAGCCTACAACATGTATGTGATCATTTGAGGGAAATTTACTATATGCCTTTATCCAAACAAAATACAGCCAAATATACCCTTTCAAATAGATTGTTTCCAGTGAGTTCAAGATTAGATTGGTGCTCAATCAGGAATGCAAAGCAATAATTTATTTTAAGTTGCTTCCATGTATCATAATATTTAATTTTGAGATTAAGTGAAAAATTATCCAAAAAAGTTTGATTCATCGACTAAGCTTATAAAAGTTAGTTTATTAGAAAGCATTTGTTTTTACAAATAAATTTTCATAATATATTAAAATCTCATTAGATAAGAAGTGCTTAAGAAGCTGGAAAACAAATAACATTTTATTAAACATTTGAAAGTGGAGAAAAAGAATCAAATAGGCTAACTGTTCTTATAGATTTTCACATATTTGTAGAAATGTTACTACTTCAAACTAGAAGAAAAGAAGCTTTTTTATCTATCAATTTAATGAATATATTAATTGAGCATCAACCATATAGGATACCATGCTAGTGTCTATGGAAATGAAATGAAGGCTAAAATGAGGGCCTTTTTCTGAGGATCATTACAATATTACCTCCCCCATTAAAAAAAACATTTTTAATAACAAATGAAAATAAATACATGCCACTATTTTTCAACTTTAAAAATAAAGTTTATTATCAAACAACTTTAGTATTTTACTAGTTTCTCATTCCATTTAAGAACATAATCAGCGCAAAAGAAAAAACACAGAAAGGTTAATGAGAACATATTATTATATGTTCTGTAGTTTTCTTAAGTAGAAATAAATAAAAATTCCTCCAAAGATTAAAATACATTAATTCATTAAGAAAATAATCAGACTGCTCGTTTATAGAATATTGTTCAGGGAAAAGTGTTTTTAGATGGTGATAGGGATGTGTCATCACATCATAATGTGTTGGCAAACTGCTTGTCAACGCAAGTCCTTATATCAGGTTGTTAACTGTTAAAGTCAAGCCTTCTGGTTACCACTGTGAAATGATTTGTGGTTTCAGATGTCATCTTTAACACAATAGGGCTGAGCTGGTATTTAAAAATGGTTCTAACAAGTCTACCAAATCACTGGGAAATTTGAAAACCTGTAGAATGAACAAACAAAACTGGACTAAATTAGAATTATGTATTTACTGCTGATTCAGACATTAGCAATATGGGACTTTTTAAAACATAGGTCATCATCAGTTTTCAAGTTCAAAACGTCACCCAAACAGGAACGAAAAATGTCTATGAACAGCCAGATACTAAATCACAGAGGGGTCCCAGACTAGGAATAACATGAACAATTGGCCATTTGAGTTAGATTAAAATTATGAAAAATCTTTAAGTAAAAGAACGATTAAGATCAAGATTTTGGCTTCAGTTTAGAGTATAGTAAAAACTCATTGTCGATGACACTTAGCGGTGTGTTTATTTTTCTAAAATGTAAGTGATTTGACTCTGCAAGTGCACGAAGTAATAATTTTTTGTAAACACTCTCTGATGGTTGCTTAGTTCTACCTTCCGATTTCTCTTTTTTTTTCATAACCTCATGAGCTGGGCTTACATGGTCTTAAAAAGGAGAACTAGCTGGGCATAGGGCATGTCTATAGTCCCAGCTACTCAGGAGGCTGAGGTTGGAGGATTGCTTGAGCCCAGGGGTGAAGTTTGAGGACAGCCTAGGGCAGACAGGGAGGCGCCATTAAAAAAAAAAAAAAAGGAAAGCTAGATTTCTTCTAAATTTGAATTTAAACACTACTTTTGTGCAGTCATGGCATCATCCACAGGTGTGGAACAAAACAAAGAAGAGCTCATTTTACATGCTGTGGCTACAAAGCAAAGGTTGAGTAACTTAGGAGGTCATTTACTTTTAACATTTGAATGATATGCTCTTCAGAGATGCCATACTCATACTGGGTTGATCCACAAAAGTTACTAAAAGAATTTACAAGAAGTAAAATAAATTATTTTTGGTTCTTACTGGAGTATAACATCTGAAAGTCAAGTCCTAATTTCCTGGGCTCCCCTCCTAAAGAATTTTATTTTTTTGTGTGTTTGGTTGAAAAAGAGTGGTTACTGAATGTCCACCTTGGCCAGATTTAACCAAATACTCTAAGAGAAAACAACTGGGAATAGAACACACATTCTAGCCCAACCCTTCCCAAATGTCTTTGAAAAAGGAAAAATCTAGATTGCTTGGTAGTGAATAATAGAAATAAAAACAAGTTAGGAAAATGGAGAAATGCTTTAGTGGTTTTAACAACAAGCAATTTTATTACATTTAAAGATTCCTAATGTTTAAACAATGAGGCAAAGGTCTATTTTTAAACAACTTAGTCTCACCTTGTTACCTTAATTCACTAAAGTGGAAGCCATTACATATTTTTTAAAAAGCAGATTATCTGATAAAAAGCAATACACAAAAACAGAATGTAATGTTATTACATAATGTTTGGGAAATAAAAACTTTTCTCAGAAGAAAAAAATTATGTAACATCTCAAGATTTTTGAGATAATCTGCCTCCATACACACACACACACACACTACATACACATATATATAGTATGTGTGTGTGTATACATATTCCTTATCTTACAATGGAGTTACATCCAAATAAACCCATCATAAATTGAAAATATCATAAGTCAAAAATGCATTTGATTCAACTAACCTACCAAATATCATTGCTTAACTCAGACTACCTTAAATGTGCACGGAACACTTACATTAGCCTAAAATTGGGCAAGATCATCTAACACAAAGCCCATTTTATAATAAAGTTATTATAAAGAATTTTGAATCAAAATTCAAAATTTGAAGTACAGTTTCTACTCAATGCATATATCTTGTGCACCATTGTAAAGTCAAAAAATCATAAGCTGAAGCATCATGTTGTAATGGAATGCAAGTCCAGTCGCTCACTGCTTGCAGAGTCCAATTAAAAGGAGCGAGGCCTGGTAGAAAGAAAGTGACCATATTTCAGAGCTAGCTGAGGGGAGGTAGTATAGGCTCCTGCCTTGAGGGCAGCATCTCAGTCTTCAGGCAGAAGACAGGGGCTTTTAAAAGGAGGGTTTGACATGAATGGCATGTAGGGGAGGAAACAATGAGGTGTGGGGGTCTACATGACTTGCTTTGTGACTTGCTTCGGGTGTCGTATCTACTGGGTGGTCTGGCTGGAGCCATCGCAGGCAGAGGTAAGCTGTAAGTTGAAGCAATCTCCTGGTGGAAGAGAGTTCCAGAGACCTGATTTGCTTCAAGGTTTCTTCTGTGGAACTTCTAAGTAAACACATTGTTAGATAACCTTGCTGTGCCTGGTGGAGAGAAGGTAAAGGTTATAATTGCATTGCTAAAAAGCTAAGTAAAAGGGGCAGGGGCACGGTGACTCATTCCTGTTTCTTAGCACTTTGGGAGGCCGAAGCGGGCAGATCACCTGAGGTCAGGAGTTCTAGACCAGCCTGGCCAATGTGGTGAAACCCCGTCTCTACTAAAAATGCAAAAATTAGTTGGTCATGGTGGCAGATGCCTGTAATCCCAGCTACTCGGGAGGCTGAGGTAGGAGAATTGCTTGAACCCAGGAGACAGAGGGTTGCAGTGAGCCGAGATCGCACCACTGCACTCCAGCCTGGGCGACAGAGATACTTCATCTGGAAAAAAAAAAAAAAAAAAAAAGGTTGGGGTCAAAAAGAAAAGAAATCCAAGAAATTCATTGTTTTCTCTTAAAAATAGGGTACTCATGTATAATATGTCAGGGACCGTCTCTCTCTCTGTCACACACACACACACACACACACACATACATACACTCACCTCTCTCCTTAAAGTTGATTTATTGATATATTTAGCCTATAGTCTATCTTAACATGTGTAAGGCAAGAAACATCATAAACTAACTCTAAATTACAAAGAAATATTTTGAAGTATGGATGATGTTTGTTTCTTTTACCTCTCCAGTGATCCAGCCCTCAAATAAACCAATGGAGCCATGTAGGGATTAAGAGCACAGGCCAGGCCTTGGAGTCAGATGCACCAGCCAAAATCCCAACTCTGCCATTTATGAGCTCCCTGACTTTGGGCAGTTTGTTTCATTTTCGCCAACCTTCCCTTCCTCCTCTGTCAAGGAAGGGTCACATGAAGGCTTTCATGAGATGATGCAGGTAAAGAGCTAAACTCACTACATGGCTCCTGTGAAAGGGTTATTATATTCATTCATTTATTCGTTCATTCATTAGCTCACTCATTCACTGCCAGAAACTGTTCTTGGTTCTAGAGATAAGTATTTCTAACCAAAACAGACAAAAATTTCTGCTCTTGCAAAGCTGACATTCTGGTGCAAGGAATGACATATTCTTCTCCAGTATCTTTCAATCAATTTTCATCTCTCTTCTCTCACCTTGGTAATTCATCTCTACGTCATCACTGTCTCCTGTCCTGCCCTCTATTATCTCAGAACATTAGACTTAGCTGTCTTAACCTCACTATTGTACCACCAACCAAACTTTAAAACTTTAAAATCGGCCTTGTTCTTCTTGCAAATATTTGTAGTTATTATTATTTTGAGACAAGGTCTCACTCTTTCACCCAGGTTGGAGTGCAGTGGCACGATCTTGGCTCCCTAGAACCTTTGCTTCCTGGGTTCATGCAATCCTCCTACCTCAGCCCCCTGAATATCTGGGACCACAGGTGCATGCCACCACACCCAGCTAATTTTTTTTAACTTCTTGTAGAGATGGAGTTTCTCCATATTGCTCAGGCTGGTCTCAAATTCCTGAGCTGAAGCAATCCGCCTGCCTCGACCTCCCAAAGTGCTGGGATTACAGATGTGAGCCACCACACCTGGCCATATTTGTAATTGTTGAAAGGATAACAAGCCTCCAAGCTTCAAAGAACTAAATGTCTAATGATGGAATCCCAGACATGATGAAAGGCACCCTAACCGTGATGGAGAACATAGTTGGGGCTGCAGGGCTTCCATATATCCAGCAAACTTGAGACTAGCAGGAGCAGTATACTCCGACAGATGTGGAAAAGCCTGCATACATCCTGACAGAAGCCCTCCTTTCCCAACAGAAGTAGAAGGCATTCACCTCTGAAGAGGAATGTAAATCTTTCATAGGATCTTCATAAACGACATCAATGTGGTTGGGGAAATCAGCCCAAAATGAATGGATTAGCAATATCGCCTCTTCAGGGAACTGGAAAAGGTCAGACCAGAAAAATCTAATCTTTATAAAGCAAGATTATGTAATTAGATTGTATCAATTAGAGACGAGAGATCATCTCATAGAAGTCTGCAAGAGCAAAACTCTTTTTTAAAATTTTCTTAACGTCTATTAAATTTGGCACAAGAAAAGCCAAAATATAGGAATACTTGCACCATCATCAGGAGAAGTCTGCTGGGGTCTGGGAGATCCACAGCACCAGGCCTGAATAAGCATCTGTGGGGCAGTGCTTAACATAGTGAAAGAATGCACAGCCTTGGGTCAGAGAGACATGGTTCAATTTCAGACTCCATCACTTAACAGGCTGAGTGGCCTTTCATCCATTCTTTCATCCGGTGAATATTTATTAAGAGCCAACCATATGCCTAGAACTGTTGTAGGCACTGAGGATATAGCAGAGAGCAAACCACATCAAGATCCTGGTTAACATGAGGCTAACACTCTAGCAGGGAGGGAGAGATACAATTACTAGAGAAATACATAGTATTTTCCTAAGGAGAAAACTAGAGTAAGAAAGAGGAGAGGGAGTAGGAAGATCAGGGTGGTCAGGGAAATGTTGCAATTTATATATGGAGGCCAGGGAGGACCTGGCTGAGGAAGTGATATTTGAGTAAAGACCTGAGGGAGGTGAAGGGGTGAGCTACGCAGCTGTCTGGAGGAGGAATGCTCTAGGCCCATCCCACTGGGCACTGCTATAAGCACAGGGGATATAGAGTGATCAATCTAGACAAGGACTCTTACGTCTTAGAAAGAAGATAAAAGAGACATTGAAAAAGGCAATTTTGGGAGAGTTGTAGGTGTCATTAAGAACATAAAGTTAAATGATTCTGTAGAGCGATTGGAGCCAGGGTGAGGAGGGTGAACACTTTCAATCAAATGTCAAAGAGGGCCTCTCTAATGAGAAATATTTAAGACTGGGACCTGAAGGAGAAGAAAGGTCCAGCCACGTAAATGTCTTGGAGAAAGGCGTTAGTCTAGGCAAAATGAGCACAGCACAAAGGAACAGGGTGAAAACAAGCTTCCTGTCCGGGAATGGAAACAAATTGTGCTGGAGCATACAGTATTAGGTCCAAAATTAGACATCTGTGTCCTAAAGACAACTTTTCCCCTCGTAACTGTGTGATGGTATCAAGTATAAAGTCTGGATCACATTTTTCTGGAATGTGACTGTTGGGTGATCTCTGTCTTGGACCTAAAAGTAAGAAAATAGTGACCCAACATAGCCTCTTGATTTGCTTCAAGCTGTCTCTGATTAATAATCATTAGCATTCTAGTTATAATGTCTAAATGAAACGTAAGAAGAAAAAGACTTCAGACCATATTTCAAGGAAGGATGGGAAATTTCTGTGATCAAATAAGTTTGGGAGATACTGGATTTAAAAACCATGAGGGAGTCTCTTTCCTGGGGGACTTCCGAGAGCTTCATGACATCCTGAGAATATAAGAGAGGTAGAGCTTGCAGTGATTCTCTTAAGTTATTTGAACCTGGAACAATTGTCAGGTTGCTTCTTGTCATACTGGAGTTTCACAGCACACAGACTTGGGGTAAACCTCTTTTAGGGAATTAGCAAGGCAAATGAATACTTCTAGAAAAAGAAGAAAAACAAACTTAAGCAAAGCATAGAGAATCTAGATGCCTTTGACATCATCCTCAGAGAGCATCATTTTCTCTTGCTAGGGTGGTTGTAGAATGGGGTACATCAGAGCCTCAGGGGCATTGGAGTGATGGAGGCCCAAGGCATGGCCAAATTCATGTGAAGCCACAGCAAACACATTAAAGTCTACAAGGAAAGATGTTGATGACTTAGGTAAATGCCCTCCAAAATCAGAGTTCTCCTAAAGGATTTTGTTAGATTGATTCTTCAAGGCTTATTAATTACATCCCTCCTCTATAGCATATTTAAGGAAGAAGGACAAAGCCAAAACCTGTAGGGATACCATCCTCAGTGGCACGATGCCTAAGGGTGCATGTTGGAGCCACCGAGAGTCCATCATTGATTCTGCTTGCCCTTTGACTCCTCAGTTGCTAGGCAGTAATGGATAAGAGAAAAATTATGATTATGGCCACTTTACTTTTAGGAAAACAAATACAATATATAGGTGATACAGACAGAAGGCAGGGAAATACTGGTTAGAAGAGGGTAGTGCCCAGCGAGGGCCCCACCCTCAAGCCTGGACCCATGGCCCAAAGTGAGAACTTTACATCCCTGTTTTCCCACTTGAATGTTGCCGTTTCCAAAACCACCCTGGCCCACCCCACCCCCAATCTTGTACCCATAAAAACCCCAGGCTCCACTGGCAGTGAAGTGGCAGAGAAGGAGAGAAAAGCAGCAGCTCAATCGGCGAGAATTAGCCTGACTTCAGAGAGACGGCTTGACTGCAGGACCTCGGAGAAGAGTTTGGCTCAGGATGGCTGAACTCCAGGGGAAGACCCGCTTTCCAGCTCTCCATCCCACTGAGAGCCACTTCCGTTGGCAATAAAATCCCCCACATTTACGACCTTCAATTTGTTCATGCAACCTAAATCTTCCGGGATACCAGATAAGAGCTCGGGATACAGAGGGCTGCCATATTGAGTTGTTAAATACTTAAGCCATCCCTGGATGGCAAAGCTAAAAGAGCACACTGGAACACACACCCTCTGGGGGTCGGGGGTTGCGGGTACTCCCCCGCCCCCATGCTGCCGAGGGCCTGCACAGAGTTCTGCTACTGCCGGCGCCCAGAAGCACTCATCCCGGCCCCTCCACCCACTCTGCCTGCTCCCCTTCCTGCAAGGGGTTGAGAGCTGCCGACTGAGTAAACAAGTCACCCCTTCCGTGACTCGTGGGAAGGGGTGAAGGAAAATTTCCTGGTTCATAGGCACAACACAACTGTTAACGTTATTTTTAATGGAAAAATCCACAGTTACTTTTGCACCAATCTAATATTATGTCTAAAATTCTAACTAGCTTGGGATGTGTAAAACAAATAGCAGAACTGGTAATGAAATATAGGCCTTGAAACCAGACATACCACTGTTTCCTCATAGTGAAGTGAGGATAAGAAAACTAGTCTTATAGGGTTAGTGTGAGAATACAATTGTGAAGCACTTGGCACATTATAAGAGCTCAGTAACTGCAGTAGCAATGAGCTTTTGTTGTTGTTTACATTATTCATATCAGAGCACCTGGAAAATGGGAAACGCTCAATGTGTGGTAGCTAAAAGGATTAAATTCTGAATTAATGATAATGGAGTTTGTTCAAAGTTTATTTTCGCACTGTGAAAACAGTTGCTGATTCTCCAGCAATAATAGATAGACACACAAGAGAAATTCAAATCTGAGGCTTTAGGTTGTTTCTAAGTATTTAGCAATATTCACATAAAAACAATAAACATGTCAATTACAATAATCCTTATTGATTCAGCAAGCCATCAGGCAGAAAATATTTGGCAAACATAGGTATTATATATAATTGATACACACACACACACTCTTTCTTAATTCCACATTTGCCCGACTTTGGGGAATTTTTACAGAAAGCTTTTCTACTGTTCATTAGGTTACTATGAGAAACATTTTGTATGTCAGCTTATAGTCAGAATGACACTTTTGTCCCTAATAAAAAAGTAGAGACCTTGTAGATAGATACTTAATGTCTGTGTTACCTACCTCTTAGTATAACATTTAGTCAAAATGTCAGTAAAGAATAGGAATATAAAATAAAGCAGTCAAACATGAAATAAAGACTATTGTCATATCTGAATGTATGACAATATGTTTTGTTTGTGAATCACTGTAAATAGTTTCACCACACTGCAATTTAAATGATTGACAATTGGTAAACTCTGTTACACTTTCTTCAACCACTGAGGGAAAAAAACTGGGTCAAGTCAAACCTTATAATGTTACCACACAATTCCCATGGTGTTAGCTTAACCCTCCAGGACCTCAAAAAGCATTTTGTTTGACTCTGTTTTGTTGCCTTAATTGCCATTTAGGGATATAAGCTAGAAATCCCAATATTTTGACCACTTATGTACATAAACTGGACAAAGCAATTTTCTCTGTAAAGGGAGATTTCTGTAACTTTGACCACTCTTCAAGTTCAATGACCACATTAAATCCTGAAGAATATTCATCTTTGCCTTTGGAATCATTTGTCCAGACTTCATCATCATCTAAGTAAACATCACCTTCAGACCCTTACCAGGAGAAAAGGCATGAGCTGGCTGTCTAAAAGGGCCCATCAAATGGGGAGAAATCACCATGTTCTAAAAGGGAAGGAACTCAGAAAATAACTGGGAAAATCATCAAGACAATAACAAAGCCTATCACTTCACAGAGAGGGTATTCAAAAATGGGAAATCTTCAATAAAGAAAATCGTTTCTTCGTTATTATCTCTGCTTCCAAAGAAGATCATGATGTCAGCAGTGTCCCAGAAAAGTCTATTGAAATGAAGTAGGGTCTCATCACTCCAAACCTTGAATGCTGCTTGGACGGTAAGGTCCACAGTTTCAGAGGGTAAATCTGGCATGTAATTCACTATTCTGACCGACATACATACACATGAGAGGCATTTCAGTAAGCCTCAAATATGACATTTTAAATATTGTTGTATTTTAAAAAATAAATTCTTTTGATGATTATTTTTGTTCCTTAGGGAATCAGAAATCTAAGGTACACCATGGTATATTAAAGTTTCTTTAGAGACAGCCTTATTTTTTCTGTATTTATGAGTGTTCTTGGTTTAAAAAAAACTAAACTGTTCTAAAATCACCCAAGGTTGAAAAACTTAATAAGACATTAATCATTTTAAATAAGGTTGTAAAATTCCATTTATTATAAAATGTTTATCTTTTAAATTATATTGAAGTACAAGGCAAGAGATAATTGAGTACAACTAATAAATTAACATTCAGCCTGTGCTATAGACCAACTAGTGATATACTGAAAGGTTGAACTGGTGTTGCCAGAGTTCTTAGACACAACATTAAAAAAAATATTGTTATAAAAAAGGTAAAAGGATCATTAAGTTCATAAACCCTTAGAAAGAATTAGCTTTCACTCTCTTTGATTTGCTTTTTGAGTAAAATTAAGCATTAACACAGAAAGACTTTGAAGTGTATCCTTTCTCCAACATTTTGCTAAATGAGTTTTACGCACACTATATAAAATATTCAAATCTATTAGCAGCCTTTAAATCAATAGATTTTTCTTTAAAAGACATTCACTAGTAGAGAAATATCTTTCAGATGTACTTGAAGTTGAGTGCAAAAATGTTTCTTATTCATCTGTATATCCCTAGAGATTAGCCCTAGGCCTGTTGCATATTAGGCACTGTATTAAAATGTGCTGAGTGGATGAACAAATGAATAAATAAATGGAGACAAAGGAAAGGCTCAAGAAGATTATCTACAGATTTTTTTTTTGTTAGAATTAGCTCATGTCTTAATCCTTCACTTCATTTGAGTTGTTATTTAGAATCTCACTTGAGAAAGAATCAGCTCCACTCAATGATATGGGCTAATATTTGTTGATTCTGAACTTTCTAAATTTGGAAGATGATTTGTTGTACCAAGCTACCACAGTAAAGAGACAACTAATTTTAGCTTTTTCCTAAAGTTCAATTCTCGTTGATAATTATTACACAATAAAAAAAAATAAAACCATTAGTACTTTATCATATTTTGTAATTTAAAATTTTTATTTTAGAGGTTTTTTTTCATTATTGTACTTTAAGCTTTAGGGTACATGTGCACAATGTGCAGGTTTGTTACATATGTATACATGTGCCATGTTGGTGTGCTGCACCCATTAACTCATCATTTACATTAGCTGTATCTCCTAATGCTTTCCCTCCCCCTACCCCTACCCCCCAACAGGCCCCGGTGTGTGATGTTCCCCTTCCTGTGTCCATGTGTTCTCATTGTTCCATTCCCACCTATGAGTGAGAACATGCAGTGTTTGGTTTTTTGTCCCTGTGATAGTTTGCTGAGAATGATGGTTTCCAGCTTAATCCATGTCCCTACAAAGGACATGAACTCGTCATTTTCCATGGCTGCATAGTATTCCATGATGTAGATGTGCCACATTTTCTTAATCCAGTCTATCATCGTTGGACATTTGGGTTGGTTCCAAGTCTTTGCTATTGTGAATAGTGCCACAATAAACATACGTGTGCACGTGTCTTTATAGCAGCATGTTTTATAATCCTTTGGGTATATACCCAGTAATGGGATGGCTGGGTCAAATGGTATTTCTAGTTCTAGATCCCTGAGGAATTGCCACCCTGACTTCCACAATGGTTGAACTAGTTTACAGTCCCACCAACAGTGTAAAAGTGTTCCTATTTCTCCACATCCTCTCCAGCACCTGTTGTTTCCTGACTTTTTAATGATGACCATTCTAACTGGTGTGAGATGGTATCTCATTGTGGTTTTGATTTGCATTTCTCTGATGGCCAGTGATGATGAGCATTTTTTCATGCACCTTTTGGATGCATAAATGTCTTCTTTTGAGAAGTGTGTTCATATCCTTTGCCCACTTTTTGATGGGATTGTTTGTTTTTTTCTTGTAAATTTGTTTGAGTTCGTTGTAGATTCTGGATATTAGCCCTTTGTCAGGTGAGTAGATTGCAAAAATTTACTCTCATTCTGTAGGTTGCCTGTTCACTCTGATGGTAGTTTCTTTTGCTGTGTAGAAGCTCTTTAGTTTAATTAGATCACACTTGTCAATTTTGGCTTTTGTTGCCATTGCTTTTGGTGTTTTAGACATGAAGTCGTTGCCCACACCTATGTCCTGAATGGTATTGCCTAGGTTTTCTTCTAGGCTTTTTATGGTTTTAGGTCTAACATTTAAGTCTTTAATCCATCTCGAATTAATTTTTGTATAAGGTGTAAGGAACGGATACAGTTTCAGCTTTCCACATATGGCTAGCCAGTTTCCCCAGCACCATTTATTAAATAGGGAATCCTTTCCCCATTTCTTGTTTTTGTCAGGTTTGTCAAAGATCAGATAGTTGTAGATATGCGGCATTATTTCTGAGGGCTCTGTTCTGTTCCATTGGTCTATATCTCTGTTTTGGTACGAGTACCACACTGTTTTGGTTACTGTAGCCTTGTAGTATAGTTTGAAGTCAGGTAGCGTGATGCCTCCAGCTTTGTTATTTTGGCTTAGATTGACTTGGCAATGTGGGGTCTCTTTTGGTTCCATATGAACTTTACGGTAGTTTTTTCCAATTCTGTGAAGAAAGTCATTGGTAGCTTGATGGGGATGGCATTGAATCTATAAATTACCTTGGGGCAGTATGGCCATTTTCACCATATTGATTCATGTAATCCAGCATATAAACAGAACCAAAGACAAAAACCACATGATTATCTCAATAGATGCAGAAAAGGCCTTTGACAAAATTCAACAACCCTTCATGCTAAAAACTCTCAATAAATTAGGTATTGATGGGACGTATCTTAAAATAATAAGAGTTATCTATGACAAACCCACAGCCAATATCATACTGAATGGACAAAAACTGGAAGCATTCCCTTTGAAAACTGGCACAAGACAGGGATGCCCTCTCTCACCACTCCTATTCAACATAGTGTTGGAAGTTCTGGCCAGGGCAATCAGGCAGGAGAAGGAAATAAAGGGTATTCAATTAGGAAAAGAGGAAGTCAAATTGTCCCTGTTTGCAGATGACATGATTGTATATCTAGAAAACCCCATCGTCTCAGCCAAAAATCTCCTTAAGCTGATAGGCAACTTCAGCAAAGTCTCAGGATACAAAATCAATGTGCAAAAATCACAAGCATTCTTATATACCAATAACAGACAAAGAGAGAGCCAAATCATGAGTGAACTCCCATTCACAATTGCTTCAAAGAGAATAAAATTTCTAGGAATCCAACTTACAAGGGATGTGAAGGACCTCTTCAAGGAGAACTACAAACCAAACCACTGCTCAGTGAAATAAAAGAGGATACAAAGAAATTTAAAGGGTATTTTAAGCCACCTAGAAATGACTTAGTAACTGAGGATTCAAGTAAGAGAGATAAAGCCTGATATGGAATACGCAGAAGTGATTTGAGGATGATATAGACTTGTAGATCCTCCAAACACCTCCAGAGATCATCAAGCTTAATTCCTTTATATTACATTGAAAAACAGTTCAAAGACATTGAGAAGCTTCCTTAAAATTGCACAAAGTGATAAACTTGGTGCTGGAATTAGAGCCTTAGCCACCTGGCTAGGATAGCCCAGAATACTCTGTATTATCCCAAACTACTTCTTAACACGTAAAGATGTGATCTGCAAAAGTGAACCCTGCCAGCTATAGCAACATTACACATTGCATAGAGAAAAAATTATGAGCGACACGTTCACCTGTGTGTCAGGATACCAGTTAGCTGCTTCATTTTCTTAGGGAAAAAAATTATACTCCACTGCGTCAGGAGTTTCACACTTTGGCTGCGTCACCAGGGCTAAAGTTTCAGCATCCAGTTGGCCATTTGATTCTAGACCAAAGAAGGCCTGCCATATGCTGGGGTCTGTTCTGCAGGAGCTTGGAGTTTCTCCTCTCCTCTGTGTTGATCTCAAAGGAAGTTGATAAAAGGCTTTCAAATATGCTAGAAAGATAGCACACAATCATCACCGTTAAATGAAAAAACTACATGCTCAATTAGGGAAACACCAACAGGAAGGACCTGTTACCTCTGCAAGATGGAATTTCACTCCACATTGGTTAGGATATCTCATTCTCTAGAAGTACATAAGGGAACTGGTAGCAGCCAGCAGACAATGAGATTCCAGAGCACAAAGGCAATTTTCTCTGCCACTCGGTGGTCTGCAGATACCTTCATTTGGAGGTGAGTGTTTGGAGGGTGATAATTTGGGCATCTGCCTCACTGAGATGCTTTTATAGGGTTAAAGGGGTTGGCACAAGATTCATTTCTTATCCTTACTTTATTGGCACTACTTTTTGTTCAAGTACAGAGCAAGTATAACACACTCTTTTATCCAAAGTAAAAGTTTTTATAGGTAAAAACAAAGGCTTCATTCCTTGGTTAATGTCCTTAAATGTAGAATGTAAGTTTTGCCTTTTTGAGGATTTCATCTGTAAAATTGACTAGCAGCAGGCAGCTTGTAATTTGTCCCTTGACATGGAAGGAAGAAAGACAGGGAGGAAGAGAAGGGAGGAGGGAGGGAGAGAGGAATGGAGGAAGGGAGAGAGCAAAGGAGGGAGGGAGGGGAGGAATAGAAAAAGAAAGAGGAAGGGAGCAAGGGAGACGGGTGAGGAAGGAAGTGACATTTATTAGGAAGTCACTGACGGGCCAGGCACTGTCCTTGTGTTTTCACTCTTATTTACTTCAGTGAGTCTGTCCCAGACACCTAGATACGGATATGTGCAGAACTAGACAGGGCTATAAGACTAGGCAGAATTTCCCCCAAAGAGTCATGACCCAAGGGCCTTTGCTATGAGTTTGCCTCAGTGTGGGAACCCATCTAATTACCTTGCTGCCAGGACCATTTTAATCATTAGTCTAATCCCAAATGGGATAATATAATCCAGATGTAGGAATTCAGTCATTGCCTGGTAAAGCATCATTGAGGATTTGTGTTAAAATTTTTCAAAACCAAAATTATTTCCCAACTTTCCAAAACATTGGCAAACAGAAATGATTAGGCAGATTGGACTCCCTCTTGTACAAATATGCAAGTTGATGAATCTGATCAAGCAAGGGGTAGAATTTGATCCATCCTTCCTCCAGGGGGAAATGCTTTACACATTTTGGAAAGTCCTACACCTGTCAGTTTGTGCTGACTTCAGAGTGCTTTCAGCTTGAAGATGTTAGAACATTGCATAACTGGTAGAAATTGAGACATTTATGTTAATTTTCATTTGCTCCCAGGGTATTTTGTCATATCCAAATTAAATTAATGACTTTGAATCTGTTTGCTCTACCATTACTCATTTTCTAGAAAATCCAGTCACTTGATGGGGTTTGAGGCACATCACAATCCAAAAACTAAAATGAAGCCCCTCGGAACTTAAGCACTAACTCAAGAAATGGGTCCCAGAAACCGCTGGTGACCAAAGATAGTTTCCCAATGAGATCTAAGTAAGCTTATTCATTTTCAACCTATTTTCTGTTGTCCCAAGTGGTGGGACATGTGCACATGTCTTTGAACTGCACAGGGCACCAGCTGTCGTTCTACCTCTTTCTCTCTAAGAAAACATACTAGAAAGGAGTGAGAGTGACTTTATAAAAACAAAACAAAACAAAACAAAAAACTAGAATCTGAAATGAATGTTAAAATGTAAATTACTAAGATAAGTCAGCACTTTGTTATTATTTATCATAACTAAACTTACACAATTAGTGGAGACACTTTATTGAATTATGATAGCAGATTAGAAGATTTTCCAAAAATGTAAAGCATGAACATGGTAGTATTGAAATTAATACAGAAAACTCGATGTACTAAATATTCATCTGTAGATGAACTAAAGACTACGAAAGTGAACATAAAGTACTTTCTTTGAAAGCAAAACTACAGTGAAAAAATTGCAATCCCAGCTGGGATAGGTTAATTTAAAAGATACCTGTGCCAGGCATGGTGGCTTATGCCTGTAATCACAGATAGCAATTTGAGACCAGCTTCAGCAACATAGCAAGACCCAGTCTCAACTAAAATAAATAAATAGAGATGTCTTCAAAGTTATGAAATAAATAGTGGTGTTATTTTAAGCTCAGAGTATCAGAGGAAACTATCTGGAGTCAGCTTATAGCTATCTCCTCAATTGTTCCCAAACTGGTATAGAATCAGAAAGAGCTGTTTCAGCACTGGAAAGTTTATCAGTTTTCATGACTCAGGAATAAAATCTTTGAATTGATTTGTTTTTTAAAATAAGCATTTAAAAATAATCTAACAATATTATTTTATTTTAATTTTTTATAACTGATTCCATTTTCTTCATGTTATACTTTTCTTATTTTAATAATACCTTTTAACAAGTAATTTTAAGAAATATATTACATATTTAACAAATGTAGAAAGATAGATAATACACATTTAACAAATTATTGAGAAAGATAATACATATTTAACAAATGTTTGTAAATTTGATATTCTATAATGCACTCATATTTTTTATTTGCAATGCATTAACTACTGAATTTCAGTGATTTTTTTTAATGTTATAAACCCTGAAAGTGTTTTTAAAAGTAAAAGACCAGGACAGGGCGCAAAGGTGCATGCCTGTAATCCTAGCACTTTGGGAGGCCAAGATGGGCAGATCACTTGAGGCCAGGAGTTCAAGACCAGTGTGTCCAACATTGTGAAACCCCATCTCTACTAAAACTTCAAAAATTAGCTGGGTGTCATGGTGGATGCCTGTAGTCCCAGCTACTCGGGAGACAGAGGCAGGAGAATCACTTGAACCTGGGAGGCAGAGGTTGCAATGAGCCGAGATCATGCCCCTGCACTTCAGCCTGGGTGACAGAGCAAGACTGTGTCTCAAATAAATAAATAAATAAATAAATAAATAAATAAATAAATAAGACCAGTACTAAACACAAATTTTTATGAAATAAACTCTGAAACATCAATATTATCATTTTGTTTATTTCAGAAAAGTATTGGAATCTCTCAATAATAATGAACTCTCTCATTATCTTGTTTTTTTTGTAGGGTTTTATAATTTTTATTTGTTTTCTATAATTTAAGCAGACTAAGGATTGACATACAGACAAATTTGTCTGCAGCAATATCTAGCATGCTCTCCCTGGGTTATCTGGTCTGTAAGGGAGGAAAAAGTAACACAGCAGGCCTAAGAGAACCATCCTTTAAAATCACCCTAGCCCTTCACTCTGCCTTCAAATAAACTAAGAAAAGTCCTGCTCTTGATTATCATATATTTAATACATTTCTCTCAATGGCAGAGAATGTATAGATTATTGGATATGATTCTTTAATAATCATATTTTTGCCTAGCAGTGTGTTTTTCGATCCAAATGACCATTGGAGCACTGATTTGTCAGTTTCTTATAAATAGCTCTGGTCTATATTGAATTGCCATGATCTAAAGATGATATTTAGGGTAAAGGATATTAGAGTGCTAGAGATATAAGAGGACAAATGGTGCTAACCTAGTTGAGCTGTGTAACTTCTCTGCCATCCTAGACCAGACTAACCCCGATTACCTGTTACAAAGTGCTTTTATCTGCTCTTTGCCTCATAATATAAATGCAATTGCCTTTTTTGATACATACATATTTGAGTCCCAGGAAAAGGCATATAGCAGTATGACACAAGCAAGTCTCTAATCAGAATATATATAGAGGCTAACATATATAGAGGAGGCTCTAGAGATTTATTTTTAATTGTCTGTCTGAAGAGAATTCTCTGCAAACCTAACCTCCTTATAACTGTTTTTTCTGTGAGTCACATATTACTTACAATTATTTTTTAACTCTTGAATTTATGAAGTCAGTGCTCAAAGATTACTTGATTAATGGATGGATTAAACAGAAAATCACCTAGACCCAAATCCAGTTTAAACAGTAAGAAGCCTCATCCAATTAAAATATTAGTAAGCTAAATATTATTATACCATTAACATTAATACATACAATTTCAAGGAGCTGTTTACAATCTTTTTTACATTGATAAGATTTTAAGGTACAAAAGAGTCACTGAATAATGTGAGTCATGTTCTCTGGCTTCAACCCTAGACAATATTTGTGGCCTACATTAAATTAAAATATAAACGATAAGGAGAGTTTGTGAGTCATGCCCTTGAGGCAGGGCGGAGGGTGCTGCATACCTTTAATAAAAGCTTTGAAATTTATTTTGTACGTACGAATCACCACTGGATTTTCCACAACCACAAAATAAAAAAGAAAAAAAAACTATAGATAAAAAATAAATAAGTGACTTGTTTCCTTAAAAGTCATTTAAGGAAGAAAATTCTTAATTCAGATATGCAAAATATTTTCAAAATAATGTAGACTCTTGTGAAAACTCATGTTTTAGGCTATAGGCAATACTAGTCCTTGAGATATTGAGTGTCCTCAGTAGAAGAGAATATCTAAAAATGTTAACCAGTGGTATAATGGAAAGAAACACTGAGTTTAATCTTGATGGCATGACTTAAAACCTGTGTGACTTTGGCAAATTGTTTAACCTTTTTCTGAGTTTCATTTTTCTCATCTGTAAACTAGGAATGAAAAATATTTACCTTTAATATCAATATGAGGAATAGAGATAATGTAAGTAAAGCAAAAATACCTCACCTGACACAGAGTACGTTCTCAGTAATTTTCATTAGTGTCAGTACTTGCTGCTGGTGTTTATTACTGAAGATGAGTTAATATTTACTGTGTATTAATTATGCACAGAGTACTTAAAGTTTTAGAAGACATGCAAGAAATAGGAGACATAATCTTTTAGACACAAAACAAGGGAAAACAAATGATCAGAATCCTTTTTACCAAGCAGTGGTTCTGTTACACATTCTAATATAAGGCAACAGAAATAATCAAGAGCTAAGGGCAGATGAGGTAGAAATCAGTGAACTGGGAAACACTTCCTGGAGGTAGTAAATTTTGATTACTTCTGCAGGGATTTCATGAGTGTATAGAGCACCCTTGATATAAGTAGCTCTATCTTAGAAAAAGACTCAATTTTACATTTCAAAAGCATTATGCCAACAGGGATCAAAGGTTCACCTAATCAATAGAGACTGCACCCAACCAGAGAAGGATATAACTACACACATTCTTTACTATTAGTACTCACCAGAGGACTCTAGGGCTATTTAGAAAAAAACGGACACAGGAAGGGGAATATCACACTCTGGGGACTGTGGTGGGGTCGGGGGAGGGGGGAGGGATAGCATTGGGAGATATACCTAATGCTAGATGACACGTTAGTGGGTGCAGCGCACCAGCATGGCACATGTATACATATGTAACTAACCTGCACAATGTGCACATGTACCCTAAAACTTAGAGTATAATAAAAAAAAAAAAACATTAAAAAAAAAAAAAAAAAAAAACGGGACTTCACCAACTCAAGGTGGCCATGTTAACAGACACTGTTTTGCTGTCACTCATGATCAAAACCCGGCCCTTGCTGCCAAAGGCTGTCGCCAAATCAAAGATTCTTCCTTGCAAGATGCTGAGGACCATCTGGATCAGTCCAAGACACTCTTCTTTCTCATGTTACTTTCCTTGGGTTGGTTCATTAAACCCTTTTTCCTTTCCCTTTTTCTCTTTATGTTAAATATCACTTTGTTTAAGGTGAAATGTTTAATCTATAATATTTATATATAGATTAAATACACTACTATGTATAGTTTACAATGTTGACTGACTTGGTGGATTGGCTTGAGTGCCTGCAGCTCTAAGGAAAATTGCCTTCTTGGGAACTTCATGCAGCTCATGACTTTAATGATGAAAACAGCATCGATAAAAACTTGACCTTGTGAAAACACACAAACGTGCATGAACTTGATTACATCTGACATTGTGCCACTAACAACGGTGAGGGACTTGGACTAGCAGAGAAAGGGTGAATAACATCTGAGTAGAGAAAATGGCATATGTGGCAAATATACAGAGATAAACAAGTTGCTTTCCAGTTGATAAATCATATTCTTCCTTGTTTTGACATATTCACAGGAGTCCTCTCTTTGACCTTTCTCCTCACCAGGCTTTACCTTTGAGTACACAGTGCATTGAGGTTTTATGGTAAAGGCCAACCTGAAAGGTGCCTGAAGGTGTGACACATGTTTAAGCTCTGAGTGCTGCTGGGATGCTCAGGTACAGACACCACCAAGTGTTGGCAGGTTACCTGCTAGCCAAAGAGAAAGGAAGAAAAGGGAGAGAAAGAAGTCAGAATGTGAGGTGTAATGTTCCCTGTAAGGGCCAGCTTATCCCAAAGATTGACCAAGTGGTCGCTATCTGGGAATACTTGAAGGGAGGTATGAAGGCCCCATTACCTTTAAAATATTTACATCATCTAAACAGTCCTTGTGGAGAATTAAAAGTTCTTTCTCAATGCCTTGGCAATTCTCATTGTCCAATCAGCTCTGGTTGATATTCCCACCAAAGCCCAAGACTAGCCTGGGGTCACCGCTGCACGCATGCCTCTTCTGTTTCTTTGCTCCTGCTGAGCTCTCTACTGCCTGAATTGACCCTCCACTCTCCCAGTTTTCCTTCATTCTTGGTTTCTGTTTATTTATGGTTTCTATTGCTTCAAAGCGTCTGCTTATAAAACCTTTTTAGATACAGGTTTTTCAACCTTTCTATTTCTACCTACCCTGATGTGTGTGTGTGTGTGTGTGTGTGTGTGTGTGTGATGTGCTCTAACACAGAGAATCTGATTAATTCAGTTTAGATGCTCTCCAATACAGAATTGTTCCTCCTGCATAAAGCTTTCTGGCAAGCCTATAACGGTCACCTTTGGGTCAGGGGTACTGGTTAAATTATGTGGCCAGGATGATGTTACAGTGGTCAACAGACACGTATAACCAGTGTGTAAGGAGTCACTCCTGGAAAGGGGGCTGCAGGCCTGGTATGTGCTGAGCAAATCATTAACTTCCCAAAAATACTCAGCTGCTTCACAGCCCCCACTAGGGTTGGCTAATACTCCTGTTAGAATATAAAAGATATTCCTAGGTATTTTATTCTCTTTGTAGCAATTGTGAATGGGAGTTCACTCATGATTTGGCTCTCTGTTTGTCTATTGTTTGTGTGTAGGAATGCTTGTGATTTTTGCACATTAGCTTTGTATCCTGAGACTTTGCTGAAGTTGCTTATCAGCTTAAGGAGATTTTAGGCTGAGACGATGGGATTTTCTGAATATACAGTCACATCATCTGCAAACAGAGACAATTTGACTTCCTCTCTTCCTATCTGAATACTTTCGTTTCTTTCTCTTGCCTGATTGCCCTGGCCAGAACTTCCAATACTATATTGAATAGGAGTGGTGAGAGAGGACATCCTTGTCTTGTGCCGGTTTTCAAAGGGCATGCTTCCAGCTTTTTCCCATTCAATATGACATTGGCTGTGGATTTGTCATAAATAGCTCTTATTACTTTGAGATATCAGTACCTAGTTTATTGAGTGGTTTTAGCATGAAGGGGTTGTCTGCATTCTATCAAAGGCCTTTTCCCTTTTCTGCATCTATTGAGATAATCACGTGGTTTTTGTCATTGGTTCTGTTTATGTGATGGATTACATTCATTGATTTGCATATGTTGAATCAGACTTGCATCCCAAGGATGAAGCCATCTTGATCTGGATAAGCTTTTTGATGTGCTGCTGGATTCGGTTTGCCAGTATTTTATTGAGGATTTTCACATCTATATTCATCATGGATAGTGACCTGAAATTTTCTTTTTTTGTTGTGTCTCTGCCAGGTTTTGGTATCAGGATGATGCTGGCCTAATAAAATGAGTTTGGGAGGATTCCCTCTTTTTCTATTGTTTGGAATAGTTTCAGAAGGAATTGCACCAACTCCTCTTTGTACCTCTGGTAGAATTCGGCTGTGAATCTGTCTGGTCCTGGGCATTTTTTGGTTGGTAGGCTATTAATTACTGCCTCAACTTCAGAACTTATTATTGGTCTATTCAGGGATTCGACTTCTTCCTGGTTTAGACTTGGGAGGGTGTATGTGTCCAGGAATTTATCCATTTCTTCTAGATTTTCTAATTTATTTGCAAAGAGGTGTTTATAGTATTCTCTGATGGTAGTTTGTATTTCTATGGGATCAGTGGTGATCTCCCCTTTATCATTTTTACTGTGTCTATTTGATTCTTCTCTCTTTTCATTATTAGTCTGGCTGGCGGTCTATCTGTTTTGTTAATCTTTTCAAAAAACCAACTCCTGGATAAACTTACAAGGAATGTGAAGGACCTCAAGGAAAACTACAAACCACTGCTCAAGGAAATAACAGAGGGCACAATCAAATGGAAAAACATTCCATGCTCATGGATAAGAAGAATCAATATCGTGAAAATGGCCAAATTGCCCAAAATAATTTATAGATTCAATTCTATTCCCATCAAGCTACCATTGACTTTCTTCACAGAATTAGCAAAAACTACTTTAAATTTCATATGGAACCAAAAAATAGACTGTATAGCCAAGAAAATCCTAAGCAAAAAGAACAAAGCTGGAGGCATCACACTATCTGACTTCAAACTATACTACAAGTCTACAGTAATAAAAACAGCATGGTACTAGTAGCAAAACAGATATATAGACCAATGGAACAAAACAGAGGCCTCAGAAATAACATCACACATCTACAACCATCTGATCTTTGACAAACCTGACAAAAACAAGCAATAGGGAAAGGATTCCTTATTTAATAAATGGTGTTCGGAAAACTGGCTAGCCATATGCAGAAAATTGAAACTGGACCCCTTCCTTACACCTTATACAAAAACTAACTCAAGATGGATTAAAAGCTTAAACGTAAGACTTAAAACTATAAAAACCCTAGAAGAAAACCTAGGCGATACCATTCAGGACATAGGCATGGACAAAGACTTCATGACTAAAACACCAACAGCAATTGCGACAAAAGCTAAAATTGACAAATGGGATCTAATTAAACTAAGGAGCTTCTGCACATCAAAAGAAACTATCATTAGAGTGAACAGGCAACCTACAGAATAGGAGAAAATTTTTGCAATTTATCCATCTGACAAAGGGCTAATATCCAGAATCTACAAGGAACCTAAACAAATTTACAAGAAAAAAACAAACAACCCCATCAAAAAGTGGGCAAAGGACATGTACAGACAGATCTCAAAATAAGACATTTATGTGACCCACAAACATATGAAAAAAAGTTCATCATCCCTGGTCATTAGAGACATGCAAAACCAAAACCACAATGAGATACCATCTCATGCCAGTTAGAATGGTGATTATCAAAAAGTCAGTAAACAACAGTTGCTGGGGAGGATGTGGAGAAATAGGAATACTTTTACACCGTTGATGGGAGTGTAAATTAGTTCATCCATTGTGGAAGACAGTGTGGCAATTCCTCAAGGATCTAGAATCAGAAATACCATTTGACCCAGCAATCCCATTACTGGTATATACCCAAAGGATTGTAAATCATTCTACTATAAAGACACATGCACATACACGTTTATTGCAGCACTATTCACAGTAGCAAAGACTTGGAACCAACCCAAATGCCCATCAATGATAGACTGGATAAGGAAAATGTGGCACATATACACCATGGAATACTATGCAGCCATAAAAAATGATGAGTTCATGTCATTTGTAGGGACATGGATGAAATTGGAAATCATCATTCTCAGTAAACTATCGCAAGGACAAAAAACCAAACACCACATGTTCTCACTCATAAGTGGGAGGTGAACAATGAGAACACATGGACACAGGGAGGGGAACATCACACACCAGGGCCTGGTTGGGGATGGGGGGCAAGGGGAGGCATAGCATTAGGAGAAATACCTAATGTAGATGACGGGTTGATGGGTGCAGCAAACCACCATGGCACATGTATACCTACGTAACAAACCTGCATGTTCTGCACATGTATCACAGAACTTAAAGTATATTAAAAAAAGAATATAAAAGATAATGCAGGTTGGACAAAGAGGGAGAAAGCCAAAGTTAACAACTCCCAAATCACTTAGGTTGATTTCCTAAGTAAGGTGTTAGTCCAACACTTTTAACTTACTGAAACACACTAAAACATTTTACAATAATCACCAGTAGGCATCTTGAAAATAAAGTGTGCCTTGTATTACATATTTCTGAAACTGACCAAAAGAATAGTCCTTGAATCAATCACTTTTATACTAAGAAAGTTTCTTTTTGGCTAATTTGTCCCTCTACCACTATTCTGCATTATACACACTGACATAGAAATTAAATAAGAAGAATGGTGATAATAGCTAATGCTTATTTTGTGACTTGAATAACCTCATTTAATCATGTAATAATACTTAATGAGTATGAATATTTTATTATTATTTCCTTCTTACAGATCAGGAAACTGAAATTCAGAGTTTGAGGAGAAAAAGAGAGAGAGAGAGAGTCATATCCCCCAGAAAGAACATGAAACTGAAAGTCAAAAGAGGGAAAATATCAAGAAGTAAACACTCAAGACTGAAAGATTCAGATCTGTATATAACATTTGGTTAGTGCCCTTAACCCATCTGGGGACAAAAATCAGCCAAATCACTTTCTGCTTGTTGTTAACAATTCATACAGATAACTCAATGGAGTTGTTTGCTTAGAGAGTCCCAGGCAAATGTAGGGGAAAATGGGGCCCTGTAAGTTAGACTAGCAATTGACAGATTAGCAAGAGAAAAACAAGCAGAAGTTTGCTAGCATGTGCATTGTGTATACACAAAGGAGCAGTCAGTGATGAGTAACTCAAAGAGGTGATTAGAACTTGGGGTTAGATCACATCTTAACAAAAGAACAATTTGTAGAGAAGTGACAAAACAAAGGAAAAGTACTTTGAATTTCTGGGGTGGCAAATTGTGGGAGAGCAAATATGTAGGGAAATTAATTATAGATAAAGGCTGGTTAGTATTTGCTATGTAGACTACTCTGGGTGCAGTCTTCAGGATGATAAAGGTCTAGAGTGGTCTCTGGTGATTAACTTCTGTCTTTCCTGGTAGAGAGGGAAGGGGGAACACCTTGACAAATTTATATCCCACTTTTAGGCAGATAGGACGAAGGCAGAGACCTTTCTTGTGTCTGCTTCTTCTCAATTGCCTTTACCTAAAAATAATCTTTATGTCAAAGTGGCATATTTCGGTGTGGCATACCTTGCTTCCTTTCACCAGCAAATAACAAATGATCCCAAGGACCAAGCTAGGAGAAAAAGAAAGTTGTCCTGGGCTCAGGCGACTTCCTAAGTAAGGTGGTACTCCAGTGCTTTTCACCTACTGATACACACTAAAACATTTTACAATAATCACCAGTAGGCATCTTGAAAATAAAGTGTGGATTTCATTGTATTACATAGTTCTGAAATTGACCATGTCTTTACTACTAACTACCACTACTACTACTACTACTACTACTACTACTACTACTACTACTTCTACTACTACAGATTTTGTCTTATAGAGTAGCCAATTTGTTTAGATAAAAAGTAACATCCCAGGCCAGATGCAGTGGCTCACGCCTGTAATCCCAGCACTTTGGGAGGCTGAGGTGGGTAGATCATTTGAGGTCAGGAGTTCAAGAACAGCCTGACCAACATGGTGAAACCCCATCTCTACTTAAATACAAAAATTAGCCGGGCGTGGTGGCAGGCACCTGTAGTCCCAGCTACTCAGGAGGCTGAGGCAGGAGAATCACTTGAACCCAGGAGGCAGAGGTTGCAGTGAGCTGAGATTGCACCACTGCATTCCAGCATGGGCAACAGCATGAGTCTCTGCTTCAAAATAAATTAAATAAATAAATAACATGCCAAAGTGGATACTTATTTATATTTGACATGTTATCTCCACACAACACTTCTAATCAACATCTGGGTAAACTTATCCTAAATAATTACTGGGGCAGAGTTTCTCAAATCTTGGGCAGAAAAAAATTCCAAGTCAAAATAAAGATAGCTTGTTACCCAGATCTCATTCTCAAAAAATAACCTGCAATAAGGCTGGCACAGTGGCTCAGGCCTGTAATCCCAGCACTTTGGGAGGCCAAGGTGGGCAGATCACCTGAGGTCAGGAGTTCAAGACCAGCCTGCCAACATGGTGAAACCCCATCTCTAGCAAAACAAAAAATTAGCTGGGTATGGTGGTGCATGCCTATAGTCCCAACTACTTGGAAGGCTGAGGCAGGAGAATTGCTTGAACCTGGGAGGCAGAGGTTGACACTGCACTCCAGTCTGGGCAAAAGAGTGAGACTCTGTCTTGAAAAAACAAAAAACAAAAACCCCGCAATAAGCCAATCAGGAGAAAAAAGAGAAAATAAGCAAAAATAATTAGAGAATAATTCTATAATAATTAAAGGTTCATCAAGATCCCATTATAAGGTCTAGAATATCATTACTGAGTCGAACATTTTATGCTTCTGTTCTGAAGTAAATGTGTCACATTAGGGAAACCATTTAAAATAATATTTTTATTTTTCTTTAGATTCCTGGAAGCCACAGTGGTGCTACCAACCGAAATTGGCACCACTCTACTGGGGAATAAGATGTCCTCCATTTATGGCTTTTCCTCTTTTACATATACCACACCATATAATTTTACCATACAGACATTGAGCAATGCATTGGTCTGTACTTGTCTGGTGGGAAACGTGATGAAATCTCTGTATTTGCTAAATAGTTGGAGGGTTTCCCTGAACTCATAATTCCAGAAGAACTCATGAATTTAATGAATATAGGGATATAAACCACTCTTGAGTCCTTCACTCTAATAGATCATCCCCTATTCCAGCTCCCATGAAGCTACATTTTTTTGAACTTTTCTCAAGCCCAAAAGGTAAGACTCCAAGTCAGCTACTAAGCTGACCTTCTGACCTCCTTTTAGTTTTGCTGTCTGCCATAAATAAACCACTCATGACCTGAGTCTTCACCATTTTGACCCAGTTCCTGTTAGTGGCCACTCTGTCTCCTAACTGGAAAAAGCCACAGGATTCATCCGGCCACCAGGTAGGAAAGTCACCTAACTGAAAACACAAGATCTGAACCACTAATCTGGAGACAAAACTTGAGAGTGGCAAGTTATTTCCAGGAGACCGAATGTGGGGGTGGCAAATTGGTAGAACATTGTTCATTACAAGTCTGAAAAGCTGAAAAACAACTGTAATCTTGCATGTCTCAGGGCTAGCCCATTCCATTAGGATAGCAAATAACGGCTAATGAGCAAAATATTATGACTGACATCCTGGCATCAACATGCATCAACATTAAACAACACCGCAGGGTTAATTGAATTAAAACATAAGTATCAAGACAATATCAAAGTGTATTTTTAATTTGCCTTGGGTATTGGGCATATTCTCTTTTTTCAGCTCACAAATTACTTTTTTTTTTAAGCGTTTATGTTAGCACAGCATATATATGCCAAAGTGGGCCTAGGGCCTAGTTCAGTTCTCTTGCTGTGCCCTTTCTTAGACATGCACTTAAGAATGGGCACATGGCTATTGTTCTGCCCTTTTGTTTTCTCTTCTCCCACTGCAGCACCTATATGTTTTTGTTTTTGTTTTTGTTTTGAGACGGAGTCTTGCTCTGTCGCCCAGGCTGGAGTGCAGTGGTGCGATCTCGGCTCACTGCAAGCTCCACCTCTCGGGTTCACGCCAGTCTCCTGTCTCAGCCTCCCGAGTAACTGGGACTATGGACTACAGGTGCCTGTCACCACGCCAGGCTAATTTTTGTATTTTTAGTAGAGACGGGGTTTCACCATGTTAGCCAGGATGGTCTCGATCTCCCGACCTTGTGATCCACCCGCCTCGGCCTCCCAAAGTGCTGGGATTACAGGCATGAGCCACCGAGCCCGGCCTGCAGCACCTATATGTCTTATTGCACTATCCATTATGTCTTAAAGTATGGGTGCTTCATATTTTAAACATCATGTGTAACTCAAAGAGGTGACATTCCTTACTTTTTTGCTACTGCCTATAATTCTTTACATACATATTAAGTCAAACCACGTGAAATTGCCATTTTTGTAGGTCAAAAATGACCAATATCAGCAATTTCTAATGGTTCTACCTAATATTTGTGTTTGAGTATATAATGTATATAATGTGTGTGTGTGTGTGAGGCAGAAGTACTTTACATATTTTATTTCAATTAATGTTTATAATATCCTATAAAGGAGGTCAATTTCTTCAGGTTACACATGTAAAAGCAAGAGCTAAGAAAATATAAGAACTTGTCTATCTAAAGTCCTCCAGGATTCAAATTTAGATTTCCTTTCCATGCCACATACTCTCTCTAGTCTACCCATGATACAAACTATTTGATTGGCTGAATCATGTCAGCTTCAAAGCTGCCTTGGGAAGCAATCAGCTAAATGTTCTCAAGCTTAAAGATATCACTTCTCTCATCCTGCCCCAGGATGTGGCACTGCACAAAGGAATAAGTCAGCACATCCCATGTCTACTGATCCCATTAGCAAGCATTGGTGAAATTAACTTAGAATGTTTCAATGATTGTGATGCTTATTTCTACAAGAAACCTTGAATAAATTCTTAAAGTGTGTGGTTTTTTTTTTTTGGCCCAGGTTTGGGTAAAATCTGGCGTTTATTTTAGAGAAATGCTAGTTTTCCCAGAAATTTGAAGGGGGAAAAAGTGCTTATAGTATATTTGAGCAAAGGTGTCCAAATGCTGTGAAATCTAGTTCTCTCCTCTTCCAAATTATAGAGCATGAGAAGTGGTTTGCTGGCTTTCCGGTTCCTACCCTGGGTGTTTTGGGAAGTGAGACCACAGCAGTCTAGATTTACATTGTCGGGATTTTAAATTTTTTTCAGTAAATGCTTATATGAATTCATCTTTTCTTGTTGGTCTTTGACTGGTTTGTTTTCAGCTCACATTCTTGGCTGACCTGAAGTTATTATATTTATTTATTTTTTTAAATAAGCCTTTGCATTAGGTCATGAGAACACTGTATTGAACCCTATTCACAGCTTAGGTGTTTACTGCCTGGTGGTGGCAAAAAAGCTGGCTTTGAGGAAGCAGTGACAGCATCTTCAGAATTCTCTGAAAGGGAAGTAGGACTTCAAGTCATCAACCATAACACAGAAAAGCAAACCAGAGTGAGAACATGCAGGAAATCTCTCTGCCCCAATAATCCAGTTGATTAACTGAAAAGAAGAGTAGAGAGAGTGTTCCCAGGGTAAACCTCACCAAACGAAAGGGTCTCTCAGGATTGCACTTTTCCCAAATCAAGGTTTCTGAATGCTTGGTAATTTGTGCGTGTATTCTTAGGAGTCTGCAATGTTCCCATGAGAATTTTTTATTTTGTATTTTCATTTTAATGATCAACTAAAAGTAATCAACATGAGCATAACCTAAATTATTTGAATGACCACCTTGTAACCAGGAACTATGGCATAATTTCAGGGTCCAAGTTTATTATTGTTAAGTTTTAAAATTATTGAGGATGACTGAAGAAAGAACAGAACAGAACTGACTAGGCCAAGTAAAAACTGAATGATGCGATAAGCATTGTGTGAAGGAAGATTCTGGGGTAGAGAAAGGGTGGGAGAATTTCATTACACCCATATGCGAATAAGGAAAGTCAGGAACACATTCATATTGGGAGCCAAAATCTAGTTTCAGCAATTTGCACTGAACGTTGTATCAACTTAATGGAGTTCATTTCAAACCTGGCTTTATGTATTTTGTAAATGTGCTTTGCTTTGATGCTGCAAAAGAATTATAGGTTCATGTATGACTAGTATTAGTTTGTGCATATGTAAGTGTATTAGTTTGCTAGGGCAGCTATAACAAAGTACCAAAAACAAGGTGGCTTAAACAATGTACATTTATTATCTCACGGTTTTATAGGCTAGAAGTCCGAGATTGACAGGGCCATGCATCCTCTGAGGAGCTAGGGAAGGATCTGTTCCAGGCCTCTCTCCTGGCTTCTGGTAGTTTCTTGGTTGTGGCAGCATAACTCTAATCTTCACATGGCATTCTCCCTGTGCATATGTCTGTGTCCAAATTTCCCCTTCTATAAGCACACCCATGAGTCATATTGAATCAGAGGCCTATTCCAGTGTGAGGTCATCTTAACTAATTACCTCTGCAATGACCATATATCTAAATTAAAGACCACACTCCAAGATTCTGGGGGTTAGGACTTTAGCATAAAAATTGGGGGCAGACACAATTCAACCCATAACGGGAGTTTACATAATAATTTTTTTTTATCATTGAAGACTACCATATTCTTTTTTAAAAAGGGGTCTGCATATTGCTCAATTTTAAGAAACCATGCTCAAAATTATATTGTTCTCATAAAAACAAGAAATTAGAACTTCTCATCTGCCTGTAGAAAACCTTATAAAGAATTTTTGGGCCAGGCACGGTGGTTCACGCCTGCAGTCCCAGCACTTTGTGCAGCCGAGGTGGATGGATCATTTGAGGCCAGGAGTTCAAGACCAACCTGGCCAACATGGCGAAACCCTGTCTTTACTAAAAATACAAAAATTAGCTGGGCATGGTGGCACACACCTCTAATCTCAGCTACTCGGGAGGCTGAGTCTTTTTTGTGAGACTCTGTCTTAAAAAAAAAAAAAGGGGGGGGGAACCTTATAAAGAATTTTTTAACTATTAAAAATGAATTCCTGATGGATCAAACTGTACAAAAGTTAGGGAAAAAAGCAATTAAATATTAACTAGACTTCTTGAAAAGGATGACTCTCTCAGCTTAGAGGTAAAAGAATAAATCACAATGGAAAAAGACAAATAGGCATGATGATACAAAAATGAAAAAAATATAGTTTGTAAAAAGGCAGACAGACTGAGGAAAGATATGTCCAACAAAGAGAACAGAAAAAGAGATATTATGTTTATTTTACAAAGGACATAGGAATTATAACAGAAGCATCAGACTTCAGTATAAAGAAGTAAAAGACAAAAAGAAACAATTTTTAGAAGAGTAAATGTGGCTGAGATACAAATAACCAACAAATTTTTAACTGGAGTGTTATTTGCAAACAATACTGTTGGTATATAATTAAACTGGAATTCTTGTACCTTGCTGGCACTAGGATAAATTGCATTCTTTTACAAAGCACAAGTGAAAACACTACAACAAGGTTCTCAAAGTACAGAAATGTACAGACTGTCTTTAAACAACTTTTTTATTGAGGTGAAGTTCACATAAAATTAATCATTTTAAAGTTCTGGGGCATTTAGTGCATTTACAATGTTTACCATCTATACTGAATTACCACCTATATTGAATTCCAAAATCTTTTAATCTTCACCCCACAAAAAAAATGTGTTATTCCCCATGCTTCCTCCCACCAGTCCCTGGTAACTACCAATCTGCTCTCTGTCTCTATGGATTTACCTGTTCTGGGTGGCTCATGCAAATAAAATTAAACAAGATGCGATTTTTTGTATCTGGCTTTCTTCACTTAGTATAATGTTTTGGAGGTGTATCATCTCATAGCATGTATTAATACTTCATTCCTTTTTATGGCTGAATAATATTCCATTGTGTGCCTGTACTACAATTTGTTTATCTGTTCATTTTTTGATAGATATCTAGGTTGTTTTCATGTTTTGGCTACTGTGAATAGTGCTATTATAGGCTACATTTAAAGGGAAAAAATGATGATTTTTAAAAATTCAGTTAGTTTAATTCAGGAATTCTCTCTGAAGGTAATAACCTAAAATGTGAAAAATTACATTCCTATATTTATTGCAGTATTTGTGTAATCAGGAAAAAATACAGTCGTAGTAAAACCCAGGCTGAGTGTTGGCTATTCAATCATTTGTAATAACCTGATAACCGGTCCCTACTGACTCCACTTTTTCGCCATAAAATTTATTCTTGTAAGAATAAGTAGTGCAAGAAAATGTTTTTCTTTTCTTTCCTTTATTTTTATTTTTTTTTTGTTTGCTTGCTTTTATTTCTTTTTGAGACAGTGTCTCACTCTGTCACCCAGGTTGGAGTGCAGTGGTGTAATCTTGGGTCACTGCAGCCTCAACTTCCTGGGCTCAAGCAATCCTCCCGCCTCAGCCTCCCCAGCAGCTGGGACTATAGGTGTGCACCACCATGCCCAGCTAATTTACTTTAATTTTTGTTGAGATGGGGGCCCAGGCTGCTGTCAAATTCCTGGCCTCAAGTGATCCTCCAACCTTGGTCCCCGAAAGTGCTGGGATTAGAGGCATGAGCCACCACGCCCAGCCCAGAAAATGTTTTTCAATAGAAAACCAGATAATCTCACTCTCTCACTAAAATCCTCCAATTATTTCTCACCTCATTCAAAATAAAACTCCTCCCCCATCCCTGGCTAAAGATGCCCTGGGTAATCCTGCCCAGCGCCTTCTCCACCCACCCGTCTTCCATGCTGCCCAGCCATATTGACTTCCCTGTGTTTCCAAGTGGGGACTTTTGCTATTCTCTTTAAGGTCCTGTCCCATTTCTCTCCTCAATTTTACTGCCTCCTTTTCCTCACCACTCACTCGTTGCTGTGATCTGAGCTTTGCCACTGCCAGTTGACCAAAACTGTGCTCTGGAAGTGACTCATATAAATACTGTTGGAGAAAACATCCATATGCACAAACCTCTGTGAGGATCTCCGAGGCTAGATATCCTTAAAAACAAATTGCAAATAAAAATTAGTTTCAAATATGTTTGAGCTTCCCTGCCAAACCAGTTCTGGAAACTTTCATCAATTTGGTCTCTCTCACTGGTCATTGTCCCACTTCTTCCTCCTCCCCCTCACTGAGTGTACCCATTTGCCAATGTTCACAGTCTTCTGAGCTCAGCTCTTCTCTCTATACTGCCTCCATAGGGACAAAATGCAGCACAGGACCAAACACTGCTGCATTCATTTGGCAACTCCAGGACTGAGAACTTTGGGAACGTCAGGAGTCAGCAGCCTCAACACCAATTCAGTTGTTTTCATGCAAGGCAGTGGCAGCAGAGAAAGTGGTTCAGGTGGCTACATCAAAAGCACACAAAGTGAGATTATCCCTGAGTACAGGTGATATTCAACCACCTGGACAATACACAAAATAACGTGAAGAGCCTGGATCCCAAGTGATCAGGTGAGGACCAGGTGCTGGTGAGATTTAAATAGCAATGTTAATTTGGCCTGTTATTGTCTCACAACTTGGTTATACTTGGGACCATCAGAGCCAGAGAACTGAACAGTTCAGCTGTCAGTGTGGACACCTGTACATCCCTGGGACCTTTGCTATTCTCCTCAAGATTCTGTCATATTTATCACACATGGACTACTTTAGAGTAATTCTCTGACTCAACGGTAAATAATGCCTAAAGCATACAAGAAATTACACAAAGAAATGCTGGCACTCAATATGTTCGGGAAGACAACCCAGCATTTCTCTGCTTCAGCATAGTTTGAAGCTTCTGATTTGAACATTTCCTTAATTCGATCAAAAAAATATGTCACTGACCATGTGCTAGTCCTTGAGCTACAAGATGAATCTGACATGGCCTCAACCCTAAAAGATTAATAGATAAGGTAGAGAAGACAAGTTTGAAGGGGTCTAGGAAACTGGCATCATCTTCCCTATTAGAATTCTGGACAAATTGAGAAATAAGATAAAACACAGAAATAGATAAGTAATATATCAGTTTTATTACCAACAGAGACTCGGTTGAAGCATAAACATGTAAAAGCCAAATCAGGTTTCCTATTCCCAGTCTAGACCTTGGAACAGCCCAATAGAGGGAAAGATTTGAGTTTTCAAAGTAGACACACTTAACTCAGGTCTTACCTCCCACTGGTCAAAGTGGAGAGGGAACAAGAAAAGAGACCAAATATGTGATCACATGACCACCAAAGGATTAATTCCACCCAGTTAAGAAACATGGACCAAAAGCTGTCATCCACCAAACAGGTGATTTCTCTGTGGGGAGAAGATGGTGGAGGAACAAGAAGACAAGAAGGTTAAGGGAAAATGCTTCCTTGTGGAAGCCAGGAAAGAGACATTTGCCTCCAACGGGACACACACAGAGCTCTGACTGTAAGACCTGTTCTAAAGGGGGTACAAACAGCACCATTTGGAGACACAAAAGAGGAAGGAATTAACGCTGGTGTGAGAGAGCAGTAAAGTATGCATAGAAGAGGCAGCTGTTTACCTGGGTTTGAAGGATGAGTAGGAAAGCTCTAACAAGGAGTGGAATAGTGGGGCGGAATGGGGTGCAAGGTACCAGGAAAAACATGGCTCAAGGTAGCACTGTGAGCAATCACAGTGAGTTCAGGGAACAGCAAGTATCCTGCAGTATAGACAGGTCATTTTATGCAACCAGTTTGATTTGGAGAACTTTTAGCTTGCCTTAAAATGCAAACAACTTTCAACTTTTTAAATTGTCAAGCAGTGTGCAAATGCGCTTTATCATGGCTCAGGTTGGGGTAAAGTTCAAGACTAGGGTAGACACAATTAAGGATATGAGTGCCAAACATGGGAGCAGGGATGTCTGTTGTCCAGGTTACCCGGTTATTTAAAAATAGTGAGTGACATTCTGACATAACCATTTTGAAAACAGATTTGTTCAGAACACCCTGCTTTATATGTTGGGTACTATGGAAGGCATAAAGAGGAGATAGTAATTTTCTAAAAAGCAGGTTGGGTAAAATTACAGAGCACTTGGAATAACATTTAAGTGAGTTAGTATTTAGAAAATGGAAAACAAAAAAAAGATTTTTGAATACAGTTATGTGACAGGTGCCATATCAGTCACTGGTATAAAGTGACACTAGCCTTCTAAGAGTTCACATTCTAGTCAAGAGCAACAGGTACACAGATAATTTCCATATAAGTAAATGGAGGCATAGGGTGATATAATCAGAGTGGTGTGTCAGAAATATACCTCTGGCAATAGTGTTAGCGCTGGTTGGACAGTAAACAGAGCCTGGAGGCAAGGAGCCCAGGCAGAAAGCAATTACATACAACAGTCCAGGCAAGGGATCAGAGGATGACGGAATGCCCAGGAGGAAATGGGATCAAGTGCACAGGTAGAAGCATTCATTTTGGAAAAATGAATGCTTCTTCTGAGACAGGCAAGAGAAACAAGTACAAGTAAAGATACAAATCATCATATTACCTTTTATGTATGCACGTTTTAAAAGTCATTTTCACATTTTGATTCAACAGGCTCTTCTCTCTCACTGGTTATGATGGAAAGTATTCAGACCAATTATTCAGATTCCAAACAAACAGCATACTTTTTTATTTATTTAACTCCAATATGGCCCCTCTGTGGAAAGATAAAGTAAACAAGAGTTAACCAGGATGTTTGTTTGTACACTTAGAAAACTATAGGTTAGATTTTCAGAGGTCTTGATTTTGCCGGTAATCAGAACCGCTGTCATTATAAGATTATGAAACTAAATAGGAAAGCAAGATGTAGAGCTCTTTTTGAGAGGAAAGGGGAGGAAGAAGCATATATCAAAGCAGATAAAAGGTGATACTTGCCAAGAAGTCACTATCTGTAGGCAGCTGTTCAGCTACCCCTGAACAACTCATAAATCAATTGCCTATATTCACTGACATTTGTTCATTCATTTCTCAAATATATTTTTAGTGCCTACAATGAACCAGAGATTCTTCTAGGTACTGGGGGTATAGTAGTAAACATAATAGACCAAAAAACACTCATCCTCAAGGAGCTTACATTTTAGTAAGGGAAGGCAGATAACTAAAATATAATAAATATGTTAAATGGTGATAAGTGCTATGGGAAAAGCATGGATGGGTAGAGGGGATGGATGGTCATTGCTGGGGAGAGTAGTGTGCAGAGAAGACTTCACTGAAAAGTTGACATTTCAGTAAAGACCTTAAGGAAGTTAGACAGTGAATAATTAATATTTCTCTGTTACCTAAAACTCAGCAAGTTTAAAGTTATATTGATTATTCTTGTTCTTGATGATGAGAATCAGGGAACCCTATAATCCCAGTGAAAGGCCAGCACACGCTGGTCCCTCAAGTCATCTTGACCTTATCCTTCTCCATTAGCTCCCACATTCAGTTGATTACCAAGACCTGCCAGATTGACCTCCTTGGTATTCCTCTGTTTTACCCTTTAGTCCCTGCCCAATTGCGTTATCCTCCAGAACTCTCTGCCCAGTCTTGCTTCTCTCAAATCAATTCTCCACGTCAGAGACTCTGACTGAATCTGTTCTACCAAAATTATAAACCTGACTATGCCATTCTCTGGCTTAGAACACATCACTGTCCCTCCATTACCTGGAGGGTATTTTCCAGACCCTTTAGCATGACAAATGAGGCCCCATAAGATCTGACACCTTCCAAATTCTTCAGCCATGCATTCTGAAATGGTTTGGCTCTGTGTCCCCACCCAAATCCCATGCTGAATTCTAATTCCCAGTATTGGAGGAGGGGGCTTGGTGGGAAATGACTGAATCATGGTCATTTCCCCCTTGCTGTTCTTGTGACAGAGTTCCCACAAGATCTAGTTGTTTGAAAGCTTGTAGCACATCCCCCTCCGCTCTCTCTCTCCTGCTCCAACATGTGAAGATGTGCTTGTTTCCCCTTCACCTTCTGCCATGATTGTAAGTTTTCTGAGGCCTCCCTGACATACTTCCTGCACAGCCTGCAGAACTGTGAGTCAATTAAACCTCTTTTCTTCATAAATTACTCAGTCTCATGTAATTTATAGTATAAGAATGGACTAATACGCCTTCCTATACTTCTGAGCAGTTAATCATTCCTTTCCAACACACAATGTGTTATTCTTTTACTCCTCCTTGCCTTTACTTATGCTGTTCCCTCTGTCTTGAATGTAATTCCCCATCGTTCTATGTCTGGCTAACTGCTAGGTATCTTTCGAGCTCAACTGGAGTACAATTTCTTACAAGAAGTCTGATCTACAAGGTAAAGTACACCTTCTCTTTGCATACTTCTATGTAGAACATAGTGTTATTATAAGTGCTTGTGTCCATTTCCTCCCATAAGACTAGGCAGTTTAAGGGCAGAATGGGAACTTATTCATCTTTATATCCCCTACTATATTCCCTGTTAAACTTTTCAAGTAAACTAATTTAAAGATGAGGGTCTCAGAATACAGGAAGTGATTATATTTTAAACCAAAGTCTAATGCTATTTTTCTACTTGTAACTCTAACTACAAACCAATAATCTTGGAGTTGTAGGGTGGTTTGTTCTTCCCGATGTAGGAAGAGGGAGAAAATGCTGTTCACCAACATTCCTCTTGGGGTCTAAGCATAAATCATTTTGTGGTCTGAGTGTGGGTGGTGCTGCTCTGTGCAGGACAAGGGAGAGATTCTTGTTGATCCCAGAATTAAGATTGGAGTGGGTAAGCATTTAAGATTGAAATAGGAAAGAGAACAAATGGAAGCCAGGAGTTTCAGAGGGATGTGGGTGTTCACTGTGAAACTCTTGCTGACTATTCAAATATTATTAAGCTCATAAAATCCTCAGTTTGTGCGCAAATGGATTTTGTTGTGTGTGTGCATGTGCATGTGTATGCATGCATGCACAAGAGGAGTGTAATCTGGGAAAAGGGCACTGGTTTATGTTCAGTTCTGAGGGGCAGAAAAGAGACAGCATACAAGGGTGCAGGACTGGAGACAGAGAAGACCGTAAGGAAGTGAGCTGTCATGAATTTGCTGTATTTGGTTTATTTTAAGCAATATAGGCCATATAATTTGAGGTAACGCATGAACCTTGGAGTTAGAATGAGGTGGGTTTCAATTCTTGATCCAACTTTCATTGGGACCTTGGGCCCAATCATTTGACATGTCTAAGTCTGAGCCTTTACTTAAATAAAGGGGATAAATAATGCTGTCTTTGGGTTTATTTATAGATTAAATGCTCAATGCATTGTAACTGTTGTTAGTATAATTAGTGCTGTGTTTTAGGAAGATGTATCTGATAGTGGTTCTAGGGGTGGGCAGATGCCAGGAGAAATTAGAGATAAACTGACCAGAGAATATTCTAGCAACTCTTCAGACAAAAGAATACGAGAGCATGGATGCAGGAAATAGTGGTGGAAATAGAAAGGAAAAAAGAAACTTTGAAGGATAGGGCTCAGCAGCTTATTGGTTCAGCATATCTGAGAGAAGGGAGGGTCTAAGAGCAAAGCTTTGCACTATAGTAAGCGGAACATCAAATAGTGATGCCATTGTTTCCAGCCATGCTACTGTCCTCTGTGTTCTCAGAACATTCCACCCAGTACCCACTCTCTGAAATACCTGCACTCTCCTCTACACCACCTGAGACCCTAGGCCTTGACTCAAGTGCTTTGTCACCAGGAGTCTTCCCTGATTTCTCAAGTCTAGGCTTAAATCTTCTTTCTCCAGCCAGCTACTGCACCTCAAGTCACTTCAGCATTGGGTGGTTAATTATACTTCATTTCTGGGGTTTTAAATCTGACTTGCCAACTAAATTTCTTGTTCTCTGAAGTCAAAAATCAAATGTCACTCATTTTTCTATCATCTCAGCCAGATGGTCCACACCTACTCCCTACTTCTGTGGCTGATCCTTATATTGATGGCTTCCTTTGCTCTGGATCTTCATACAATAAGTGAAACTAGGAATGTAAATCACTTTTTATGAGAGCCCTATAAGGAAGAGCATAAGTTTGAGAAAGATAGTGGAAGAACCAGGAGACCATTGAAAGAACAAACAAAATCAACCCACTACAAATATTATTTTAAATTCACCGTTATATTTGTCATTATCAATACCACCATTAACATTTACTGAACACCTGACATATTCCAGATACCTGGATCTTTTCAGTTAAGCCTCAGAGTGAATCCATGACATGGGTACTATCAATGTCCCCATTTCACAAATGAAGAAACTGAGACTAAGAGAGGTTTAGTAACTTCTGGGTATTAACAGCTGGATGGAATGATGGAAGACAGAAACTTTAATATTATCCCAGGGCTAGTTGAGTTGTTCTAGTAACCAGATTAAAACAACTGGACAGGGGAAAGTAGAGGGAAGAGCATGGGGTGGTAGAAAGTACACTAGGCTTGGAGTCAGGAGACTGGAGTTTTGGTCCTGATAAAGTTAAGATCTCTAGACCAGTTTTCTTCATCTAGAAAACGAAGGGATTACACTAGATAAACTCTAAGATGTATTTCACTCCCAGATTCTGTGCTAGAAAATACAATCTATTTCTTGATGTGATAAGATGCTTAGTAGCATCACTTTTAATATAGACACATACATTCTAAGGGGTTATTGGAATTATTAGAGGCAGGACGTCTGGGAAGGGCACATGGAGTTTTGAGGAGTATTTTGAAACAGTAAAGGAAATGGCATGACATAGAGACATAAGGAAAAAATTCAGGCTAGAATATGGTCAGGAAAATGACTAAAAGGAAGGAGTGGATGAGTCATGTGCATAACTAACTTGCCTGGCTGCAGGGGGAGGTGCCATCACAGCAGGAAATGGGTATCATTAGTCAGGAAAGGACCAGGTGGTGATCAATTTTGCAGGCAATGTGAAGATGTCTAAAAATTAGTAAGTGGGGGAAACTAACAAGTTTTTTTTGAGTTTGTTCAGACAAAAAGGACTAGGCGAATTGATTTTTATCCATTAATTTATTATCCAGGTATAATAGTAACTTTTATAGCTACCTAACAAGAGCTTTTGAAAAGGAAAAGTATGGAATAGGGAAGTTATTCTGGCATGACATTCTAAAAGCCACCTAAGCCAAATAAAATATTTTGGGATTTGAGAGTTACACTTCCTCAGAGCATGCTTATGAGTGTGTGTGTGTGTGTGTGTGTGTGTGTGTATGTGTGTGTGTGTGTGAGAGAGAGAGAGAGAGAGAGAGATTCAGATCTAAATGTGGTATGTACATAAATGTAAGAGAAAATTGTGGAGGTCTGTGTGTTATAGGGTTGGCCTTTTTTAAAGTGATGAAGTGATGGATGGCATATTTTCTTAATTTATTCCCAGAATGTAAAATGACCTAGCCTAACTTTCCAAAGGTACTGTAAGTTTCTTAAACTTTGTTTCGCCTTTCTGGAATCTTAGTATTCAGGAAGGGGATATTTATCCAAGAGGAATAAAATTGATGAACGCTATAAAATTTGTTGGAAAACAGTTCTACTTCTGAGTCATTAGAAAAGAGTAGGACTATTTCCATTTAAAACCTTAATAAAATTATTACCTTTGATAATAAACTAGATAGCATAGTTCTTACTAGATTCAAACATATTTTCTCAGAAAGTACATCATGAAAATATTTATTTTCTATTCTGTTTCTGAAACGCATTTTCCATCATTAGAAAAGTGACAAAAGGCATACCTAAGATTTAAAATTTCCTCTGAGTTTTTAAGAAAGATTCCTAAGCAGGGCTGGAAGGCTGAATTGGAAAGGGAGAAAAGAGAGGGCACTAACTTGAGTGTATATTTGCTCTATGTCAGGCACTATGCTGGACACTTTATGCACCTTATTTTATGTAATCATCATAGCTCTCCAACACATGAAAACAAAGCATTTGAGTTCCTTGCCTGAGTCCCACATCTAGTTAATGAAAGCAGAAGGATGGAAGCTCCAGCGTACCTACCTCCAAAGCCTATGTCCATTCTACCAGCAGTAGACTCATACTATTGACTGTCCCTATTTTGCTTCTCAGGTAGAAGGAAAGGGGTTCCTATCTGTTACTAAAATCCCTTGGTGTTACAAATTATTTCTTAGATCATCAGTATAATTTATAAGAACTATTTAGAATCAATTCCACTCAACTTTCTAATTTGCTGACTTGCTACCTTAGGGTAAGCAATTGGGACAATTAATCTTAAAATAGATATTCAGAATCAGATATCTTCTTATCACTGCCATTGCTTCTATCCTGACCCATGCCTCCATCATCTCTCTTGCCTAGATGACTGCGATAGGTTTCTAACTCATTTACCAAATTTAGCCCTTGTCTCTTTTTCAATTTATTCACTCAATGCAGCAGCCCAGGTGGATCCTTAAAATTTTACATCATAAAACTCTTCTACTCAAAACTGTCCAATGGTTTGCTTTCCATATTGCCAGAGTAAAAGCCAAAGTATTTAAGGGCATAAAAGACTGTACTTGATTTGGCCCATGGACAGCTCATTAATCTAATATCCTGCAGTTTTCTCCACCATAATTTTTCCTCTTTGCCACACAGGTCTTCAATTTCTAAAACAGCAGTCATGCTTCTGCCTCATGGCCTTTGCTCGTGGTTTTCCCTCTTCCTAGAACATTCTTCTTCAAGACATCTGCATGGCTTGCTTCTTTAACTCTTTCAGATCTTACTCAAATGTTAGCAGCTAAATAAGACTTTCCTTATGATCCTGTTTTAAAATTGTAATCCCCCTCCCCATATGCATCCTAGCCATCCTTTCCAGATTTTTCCACATAAAACTATATTATTTACCTATTCTCTATCTCTCTGACTTGCATATGAGCTCCATATTGTTAGAGAATTTTCTATTTTATTCACTGACATATTTCTAGTACCTAGAACAGTGCTTGATGCTTGGTAGGAACTCAATAAATTGTTATGGTATGAAAAACTTTATTCAACAATCTTCATTGTGTGTTTACTAACCACCATGCACCATTTTAGTCTCATCCCTGCTCCTTAATAGCTATTTTTTCTTAATCACTTAACTTTTGTTAGTCAATTTGTTACCATTTGCAAAAAAATGATATATAGTAGCATAATTTTAATTTGTCAATTTAACGATAAATACACTGAGCAAGTACTATTACACAGACAAAGAACTAAGCCTGTCCTGTTATAGGTGAGACCAGTTAAAAAAAAAATGAAGGCACAATGCTTGGTCTTCAAAACATTTAATTCTAAAAGAAGGGTCAAAACAGAAGTACAAATGAAATATAAGGGGAGTTCAAAGAACATTACATTTTATTCGATAGGTTTAGGAAAGTCTTTGTGGTTTAGTTATTTCATGTGAGTCTTGAATGGTGGTTGAGATTTTGAAGAGGAATGTGTTCCTGATGAAGCAAAAATATAAAAAAGAAAAGAAATGGATAGAAAGCAATGGAAGACAAAAACATGTCTTGTTGCAAAGAAACAGAGCTCATAGAAGGGGAGCTCACACTGTACTTTAGGAAGGTAGACACATTCTCAGGAAAGTACAAAAGGTAATATGTCTGTATTAGGTAGAAGTCTTTCAATAGTAAGTCTCAAAAATTCAACGGAAGGAAGGAAGGAAGGAGCAAGAAACAGAGAAAGAGAGAGAGAGAGAGAATTCATACAGCTTACTGTCTCATGATGCCCAAGAATGGCTTATGAACAACTTGAACTCAGTTTTGAACACTGCCTGTCTCACTTCTACTTTTCTCCTCGGGATTCTCTTTGCGAGTTGGCTGTATTCCTTTTTTTTTTTTTTTTTTTTTTTTTTTTTTTTGAGACGGAGTCTCGCTCTGTCGCCCAGGCCGGAGTGCAGTGGCGCGATCTCGGCTCACTGCAAGCTCCGCCTCCCGGGTTGACGCCATTCTCCTGCCTCAGCTTCCCGAGTGGCTGGGACTACAGGCACCCGCCGCCGTGCCCAGCTAATTTTTTTCTATTTTTAGTAGAGACGGGTTTCACTGTGTTAGCCAGGATGGTCTCGATTTCCTGACCTCGTGATCCACCCGCCTCGGCCTCCCAAAGTGTTGGAATTACAGGCGTGAGCCACCACGACCGGCCCAGTTGGCCGTATTCTTTTTTGTTATGCATAGTTTATTCTGGTCTTCAATCCCTGTGTCACATTCCTGCAAAATTATTTAACAGGTTACTAAATCTATGGCTTTTAAGCACTTGGGAAGAAATAAGGGTGTACTGGAAGATAAAAATGGTTCACAAACAAAAGTTATGCCAAATTCAGTACACTTCATTTTTTTGAAAGGTTTATTAAACTTAAAGATCACATAAATATCATAGGGCACTGAAGTCTCTCAGGATATGAAAATAAGCCATGTTTAGTTTGCCTCGTTAGGCCTTTTGTGATCTGGCCCCTGAGGTAGCCCAAAGTCTCCTCCCACACCTCCCCTTGCCATACAGAATGTATATGTCTCCCCGGCTAAATAACTAAAATTGAGGGTAGAAAATATGTCATTTTTACCATTATAGTTCTATCATCTAGCAAATGTTCTAGCCTTTGGCAGGCATTTAATTAGTGCATCATTTGATCAATAGATTGATTACATTTTGTAGATTAAAATTTTGGTACGTGGTCTAAAGGAGACTAACAGAGATTTTGGTTGTTTATCGGTAAACAACTTTATTAGAAGTGTGTGTAGGTTTATGTTTATTTGTATTTATCTTTAAGCTGTAGAAAGGTCTTTAGGTGACAGCAATAATGTTTGAACCTAGCCACATGTTTTTCAACATTCCCATCAATGATTTAGATGGAGAAAATGGAGGAATATTTATTACACCTCCAACAAAGTTCAAAGGGATATATGTGGAATAAAAACAGCAGTAATAAAAAAGATCGTAACAGTCCGTAGAGATTTAAAAAAATCAAGACTAAATTAAACAAAAAGAAATACAAATTTCTGCATTAGAGTTCAAAATCAACAGTAACAATGAAGATAATGATTTGACAATATTTCCAAAGGAGGAATAGTCGGCAAATAGAAATGTATTTCAGTTCATTGCCTTCATTTGTAGTTGCTATGGTTTAAATGTCCCCTCCAAAATCCATGTGGAAATTTAATCCCCAATTTGGCCACATTGAGGGGTGGGGCCTTAAAAAGGTGATTGGATTATGAAGGCTCTGCCTTCACAAATGGATTAATCCATTCACAAATTAATGAATTCAAGGGTTAATGGATTAATGGGTTTTCATAGGAGTGGAACTGGTGCTTTTTTAAGTAGAGGAGAAGAGACCTGGGCATAGCATGCTAGCACATCTGCATGTCAGCAGGCTCAGCCCCCTTGCCATGTGATAGTCTGTGCAGCCTCAGGGCTCTTCAGAGAGTCCCCACCAAGAAGGCTCTCACCAGATGCAGCCTCTGGACCGTGGACTTCTCAGCCTTCATCATTGTTAAGAAATAAATTCTTTTTCTTTATGAATTACCCAGTTTCAGGTATTATGTTATAAGCAACAGAAAGCCAACTAAGATAGTAGTCCTATGCATTTTATTTTCATATTTAAAAATATTCGAGAAGGGATTCATCACTAGGTTGCCAATGGAATTTATGGCACAAAATAGCAAATGATCCCTGGCCTACAGGCTCTGCTTTAAAAAAAAAAAAAAAAAAAAAAAAAAAACAGTTTTATTGGGATATAATTCATGTACGAGAAAACTTGCCCTTTTAAAATGTAACATTAATTGGTTTCTAGTACATTAACAGATTTTAAAATATTTTAATCATCCCAGAAAGAAAAACCCAAACCATTAAGCCGTCATTCCCCAGTGCACCTTCCCCATCATTTGGAGACATTGATGTATTTTTGTCTCCCACAGATTTGCCTCTTCTGGACATTTCATATAAAAAGAATCATACAATATGTGATCTTTTGTGACTTGTTTTTCTGTATCATGTTTTCAAGGCTCATCGATATTGTGGAATGTATCAGTACCTCATTTTTTATAGCCATATAATATGCTATTGTATTGGCACACTATAATTGTTTATCGATTCATTAGTTCAGGGACATTTGGGTTGTTTCCATTTTTTGGCTATTATGAATAATGCTGCCTTAACACTCACGTACAGGTTTTTGTGTACATGTATATTTTTATTTCTCTTGGGAAAATACCTAAAAGCAAAATTACTGGGTCATATGGTAACTCTGTTTAAGTTTCTGAGGAACTGCCAGATTGTTTTCCAAACTAGCTGCACCATTTCCAGTAGCACTGTATGAGGGTTTCAGTTTCTTCACATCCTCTTTAACACTTGCTATGGTCTGTTTTTTTTTTTATTTAATTATTGGAATACTGGTGGATGTGAGGCGGTATTTCATAGTTTTGGTTTGCATTTCCTTAATGCCTAGTGCTGTTGAGCATATTTTTATGTGCTTATTTACCATCCATATGTTCTCTTGGGCTAAATGTCTGCTAAAATCTTTTGTCTATTTTTAAAATTGAGTTATTTATTTATTAATGAGTTGCACATATTCTTTATATATTCTAGATAAATTCCCTTATCAGATATACTGATTGTAAATATTTTTTTTCCAATCTATGGGTTGCTTTTTTACTTTTACTGACTCTTCTTGACTGTGAAATCAAATTGAGACTTTTGACAATGTTGCTGTTATAATAAATATACAGTCTGGATCAAAATATATCTATTCTCTGCTAGTCTGGCCACCCTGGAATGTTGAAATCAGTTCAAAGCACCACTGTGTAGAAAGGACACACAAAAAATTAGGTATAAACTTCCAGGGTTGAGCAAGAGTTCTGAAAACCATTCCACATTTCATATGAGGAAGAGACAAGCTAGCAGAATATATTTAGCACAGAATAAGGACTCTCAAGTTACTAATGGATTCCCAGGTAATCCCTTGGAAAACAAAAGTGAAAAAAATAAATGCCAAAGAAAGAGACATGTTGGCATCTATATAATAAAGGAATTACAAGAGTCACACAATTCCAAGTGCCTATGGGGCATTTAATAAATGTTATTTAAATTAATCAAAGAAGAAATGGATTAGACTTACCCAAAAGTTTAGCAGGATGTTTCAACAACGAGTAGACTCCCACTAATAAGATGTTCAAGAAAGTAAAAGAGCATCTGCTGTTTTTGTGGCAGAAAATTTTCCCTCATTGGTTAAAAAAATGGATAAGATAACTTCCAAAATCCTTTCCAAGTCTAAGATTCTATCGCTTTAAAAACCCAGATTAGGCAGCTATTGGAGATTACACATTTTTAATTAATTTTGAATTGGTAATATACTCACAAGGGAAAAATCAAGATATAAAGAGACATTTGCACCTTTCTCAAACTGTATTCCAGCCACTCAGAGTCCCTCCCCAGAAATAATCCTCTTAATTTTTTTATTCAGAGATATTCTATTATATGAAAATATGTATTATGTTTTTATACAAATGGTAGCTTGTTATACATAATGTTTTTGCATTTTGCCATGTATTCACTTTAAAATTTATTTTACAGATTACAGTTTTATATCAGTACGGAGATCAATTTTATTCTTAGGGAAGGTTGTACAGTATTCCATAGTATGAGAACTACTGTAATTTATTCAACCAGATCCTTGTTAATGGATACTTATATTGTTTTCTATATTTTGCTATTACAAAAAAATGCTACAGTGAATATACTTATGCATTTCTCATTTTGCATGTGTGAAAATAATTGTAGTTTTTAGAACAAATTACCCACGTAAAATTGCTTGAATCAAAGAGGTTTGCATTAACTATACTACAGGGCTAGAGTAAAAAAACAAAACAGCATGGTATTGGTACAAAAACAGACATATTGACCAATGGAACAGAATTGAGAGCCCAGAAATAAGGCCGCATACCTACAACCATCTGATCTTTGACAAAGCTGGCAAAAACAAGTAATGGGGAAAGGATCCCCTATTCAACAAATGGTGCTGAGATAACTGGCTAGCCACATGCGGAAGATTGAAGCTGGACCCCTTCCTTACACCATATACAAAAATCAACTCAAGATGGATGAAAGACTTAAGAGTAAAACCCTAAACTATAAAAACCATGGAAGACAATCTAGGCAATACCATCCTGGACATAGGAATGGGCAAAGCAATTGCAACAAAGCAAAAACTGACAAATGGGATCTAATTAAACTAAAGAGCTTCTGCACAGCAAAAGAAATTATCAACAGAGTAAACAGACAACCTACAGAATGGCAGAAAATCCTTGCAAACTATGCATCTGACAAAAGTCTAATATCCACCATCTATAAGGAACTTCAACAAATTTACAAGAAAACAGCCAAACAACCCCATTAAAAAGTGGGCAAAGGTCATAAACAGATACTTTTTTTTTTTTTTTTTTTTGAGACAGAATCTCGCACTATTGCCATGCTGGAGTGCAGTGACATGATCTCAGCTCACTACAACCTCCACCTCCCAGGTTTAAGCGATTCTTCTGCCTCAGCCTCCCAAGTAGCTGGGACTACAGGCATGCACCACCACACCCAGCTAATTTTTGTATTTTTAATAGAGACAGGGTTTCACCAAGTTGGCCAAGATGGTCTCGATCTCTTGACCTCGTGATCCACCCACCTCAACCTCCCAAAAGTGCCGGGATTACAGGAGTGAGCCACTGCGCCTGGCCTGAACAGACACTTTTTAAAAGAAGACATACATACGGCAAACAAGCATATGAAAAAAAGTTCAGCATCACTGATCATTAGAGAAATGCAAATCAAAACCACAATGAGACACCATCTCACACCAGTCAGAATGGCTTTTACTAAAAAGTCAAAAAATAACGAGTGCTGGTGAGGTTGCAGAGGAAAAGGAACACTGTTGGTGGGAGTGTAAATTCATTCAACCATTGTGGAAGTCAGTGTGGTTATTCCTTAAAGACCTAAAAACAGAACTACCATTTGACCCAGCAATCCTGTTACTGGGTATATAGCCAAAGCAATATAAATGGTTCTATCATAAAGACACATGCACGCGTATATTCATTGCAGCACTATTCACAATAGCGAACACATGAAATCAACCTAAATGCCCATCAATGATAGAGTGGATAAAGAAAATGTGGTACATACACATAACATACTATGCAGCCATGATAAAGAACAAGATTATGTCTTTTACAGGAACATAGATGGAGGTGGAGGCCATTATCTTTAGCAAACTAATGCAGGAACAGAAAACAAAATACCACGTGTTCTCACTTATAAGTGGGAGCTAAATTATCAGAACACATGGACACATGGGGGAAACAACACACACTGGGACCTATTGGAGGGTGGAGGGTGAGAGGAGGAATAAGATCAGGAAAAATAATTAATTGGTACTTGACTTAATACCTGGGTGATGAAATAATCTGTACAACAGACCCTCATGACATGAGTTTACTTATATAACAGACCTGCACATGTACCCCTGAACTTAAAATAAAAATTAAAAAAAAAACAAAAGGGTTTCCATTTTTATTTTTGATAAATTTTTTAAATTGCTTTCTACAGGAGTTGTATTAATTTACCCTTTCACCAAAAATGTTTGAGAGTATCTATTTCCCCTCACTCTCACTCCCTAACTTAACTGTGTTTTTATTTATTATCTTTACCAATAGAATAGGCAAAAAACGGCATTCACTGTCACTTAATTTGCATTTCTCTTATTATGAATGAGGCTGACCATCTTTTCATGTTAAACAGCCACTTGCATAAGTTTAAAAATATATACCTTTAGCAGTTGGGCATGATGGCTTGCGCCTGTAATCCCAGCACTCTAAGAGGCCAAGGCAGGAAGACCTTTTGAGGCCACAAGTTTGAGTCCAGCCTGGGCAATATAGTGAGACTCTGTCTCTAAAAAAAATTTTTTTTAATTAGCCAGATTGGTAGTGCACATTTATACTCGTAGCTACTTGAGAGGCTGAGGCAGGAGGATCACTTTAGCCCAAGAGTTTAAGGTGCAGTGAGCTATGATCATGTCACTGCCCTCCAGCCTGAGCAACAGAGAGAAACCTTGCCTCTAAAAAATAAAGAAAAAGAAAAAAATCATTAGCTAGTTAGCTACTAGGTTATTGATCTTTTCCTTAGTGATTAATTTAGACTCTTTATGTATTGTAGCATTAAGGAAATTAGCCATTTATCTGAATGGGTTGCAATTTTTTCCCAGATTGTAATTGTATTGACTTTATGTTTTTCTCTCATGGAGACTTCTAAAATTTTATGTAGTTAAACAAAATATTCATTTTTAATGGATTCTGAGATGAGTTTCAACTTAGAAGAACCTTCCCTATTCCAGGGTAGTAATAAAAATCATCCTATGGGTCTTCTAGTGTTTTTATGATTTTGTTTTTCACATTCAAATCTTTCTACCACCTGGAATTTACTTTAAGTAGAGTTAGGAATTCCAGTTATGTTTTTCCAGATAACTACCTAATACGTGTTTGGTTTTTGTTTTTTTGTGTTTGTTTGTTTTTTTTTTTTTTTTTTTGAGATGGAGTCTCACTCTGTTGCCCAGGCTGGAGTGCAGTGGTACCATCTTGGCTCACTGCAACCTCTGCCTCCTGGGTTGGAGCAATTCTCCTGCCTCAGCCTCCCAAGTAGCTGGGATTTGTGTGCCACCACACCTGGCTAATTTTTGTATTTTTATTAGAGACGGAGTTTCCCATGTTGGCCAGGCCAGTCTTGAACTCCTGACCTCAGGTGATCCACCCACCTCGGCCTCCCAGAGTGCTGGGATTACAGGCATGAGCCACTGTGCCTGGCCCTGAAATGTTTTGTTAAACACAGATAATAGATGAATTTCATAGTCTTGAGTATAGTGTTATAAGGTATGACAGTACCTATAACAGTAGCAAATACATAGAGGTTTAATAGCAGTATTAAAAATAGTAACAACAACAACAATAATAATAGTTATACTTACATGGTGCTTAGCATGTGGCAGGCATAGTTCTAAGCATTTTATGCAAATATTACTGGATAATTCTCTCTACTTTCAGGAATTGATTAGGTTCACAAAATGATGCAAGAATCCAGATCTTTCCTGGACTCTAAGATGAAGTGGCTAGAATATGGGTAAAAACAGCAAAATCTCTCATAGTTATAGTTGGTTAGAGTTCCAGGAATAAAATACTTTATTCATTTGCCTGCTCAATAGTTCAGTTAGTATTTGTCGAGTACAAGGCTTTTCAGTAGGGGAATGGGATAAAGACCAGATCTGATCAGGCAAGACACCACAATTATAGTTTCCATGTGCCAAGCATCATGTATATTTAGCCACCACACACCAGAACAACCAGTTGGCTCCACTCTTATGGTCATGCATACATTCTGATTGGTCAATGCCAAAGCTATATTGGTTGTTAATTTAAATGGCACTATAGTGCCAACTACTAAGGTAATTCTTTACAGGTATTGAAAGTGTATTTACATGTATTGAATATATGTATTGAAAATACATCTTTATATGTATAGAAAATGCTTCTCTGTATGTTTTCTTCATAGCATTTACTACAATTACATATTTTTATGTAATTAGATTATCTTTCTGCAACATTAGACTGTAAGCTACATGAAAGCTGGAGCACAAAACTATTTGCTCAACATTGAGCCTCAGTATCTAGCACATAATAGATGTTGAATAAATATTTGTCAAATGAATGAATTCATAAATAGTCCTAAAATCAAATAGATCTAATTTCTAATTCTTTCTCTGCCTCTCCTTGCTGTGTGACTGTGGGCATGTTTCATAGCTTCTCGGTACTTTAGTTTTCTTCTGTAAATTGACATAATAAATATTACCTAATAGAGTTGCAATCAGAATTAATTGAAATAATACATTATCATCATCATCATTATCACCACCATATTGAGTTCTTATTATATATCAAGATCCTCTCAGACCTAGAAAAATCTCCTTATGGAATGTGATCCATGCACACACTCATGCTTGAAAATCCAGTCCTGAGATTATGATCTGAGTGTGCAGGCTTTCCCATAATCTTGTGATTCAGACTCTGGCATCCAAAATCCACCAAGCACAGAGTCAGAAGACAGTGAGAGACCAATTATTTCTTTTATGTATGTCTTCTGATTTTGCCTAAGGTGTTTCTCTGAGACATTTAAAACCATGGGGATAGACACATATTGTATAGGGTAAACATAAGGTAGCAGAGCACCCGCCAAGCAAGTATGAACTATTTTAGTGGTAAACTGTCCATTCTTCCCTGAGGTTCTGTCATCCAGTACTCTTTGAAACTAGATGAGCAACTCATGGGATATAACCTTGCATCTGTACTGTAAATGCCCTAAGATTTACCAAGCTGAATTAGCAGCCAGTTTTTCTCTTTTCTCTTCTACTATGAGCTTGATGCTGTCCTAAAGTGCCTTAAAATCTACATAGAATCTACTCTCACAACAGTAATGTAATAGTAGTCTTTATAATGTCTTCAGACAAAGCTATAAAGTACAGTTTGGGGAGACAATACTCCAGGAAGGTCATAAAACAATTAAACTTATGGTAGTGTCTCTAGCTTGTTGTTACTATCTAGAACACTGTCTCACAGAGTAGTGCACATTAAAATAGTGTTATTCAAGTTCCCCACATAAATGAATTTTGAAAGTAATCAGGAAAGATTTCATGAAACTGTACAGTAATTATCTGAACTCACTGCATGACCTCTGTGCACTACCTAAGTCTAAGAAGCTCTTTTCCATATCTTCTGACTACATTCTATTTGTTATTTCATTCATTCAAAAACTGTTTACCAAATAGGTATTTTCTATTATGAAGGAATCTAGTAAGTGGATATTTGATTAATGAGGCCTGGTTTCTTCCCCTAAGGGGTTTATAATTTGATGAAGAACATATACAAGAAAAATCATTGATAATAGTAGAGTTGCTGTTTTAAAAGTTTTTCATCTGCCTTGTTCAGATTTTAGTACTCGTAAGATTCACTCTTAAATTTTCACTTGGATTCATTTATCATTTAACCATTTATTGAATGTCTACCATATATACAAAGAACTGAAGGGATACACTAGGAGATTTACCAGAAAAAGGAGCAGGACTCTTGACCATAGGTATCTTCTTCACTTAGAATCTAGTCCACATCTTACTCCTGGCTCCAAACTGTTTTATTCAACTATCTACCAGACGTCTCCATGTAGAGTTCCAGAGCAGGTCCCAAATGAAATTCATTATATTGAATGAATGTGTCCCCCTACATGTGTCCCTGTTCTGGTTAATGGCCCCATCACTTGCCCAGTTACCTACACCAGAAACCTGGAATAGGGTTTAGATTTCTCCTTCTCCTTCGTTGCCCCTACATAATTATTCAGAACTTCTGCCAATTTTGTCATCTATATATTTCCTTATTCTGTTCTTTCCTTACCCTCTCGACTGTGACTGCCTTAATTACTGCCCTGTATGAGGCTGTTCTTGCCTTGCTATAAAGAAATATATGAGACTGGGTAACTTATAAGAAAAGAGGTTTACGCTTTGGGCAGCTCTACCCCTGCATTCTGCAGGGTGCATCTCCTGTAGCTGCTCTCAGAGGTTGTTGAGAGCCTGTGACATTTCCAGGTGCAGAGTGCAAGCTGCCAGTTGATCTACCATTTTGGGGTTTGGAAAACAGTGGCCCCTGTTCCTATGACTCCATTAGGTACTGCCCAGTGGTGACCCTGTGTGGGGCCTCCAACCCCATGTTTCCCCTCTGACTGCCCAACCCAGGTTCTCTGAGGGCTCTGCTCCTGCAGCAAGCTTCTGCCTGGGCACCCAGGCTTTTCCAAACATCCTCTGAAATCTAGAGGAAGGCTGCCAACCCTCCACCACTCTTGCACTACATGCCTATAGGCTTAACACCACATGAAAGCTGCCAAGGCTTATGACTTGTGCCCTTCCAAGCAGTGGCCCGAGCTCTACCGGGGGTCCTCTAAGCTGAAGCTGGAGGTAGAGTGGGCCGGATGCGGGAAGCAGTGTCCTGAGACTGCACAGGGCAGTAAGACCCTAGGCCTGGTCCCCAGAACCATTCTTCCGTTGTCTTGGTCTGTGATGGGAGGGACTGCTGTGAAGGTCTCTGAAATGCCTTCAAGGCCTTTTCCCTGTTTTCTTGTATATTAGCACTTGGCTCCCTTTTCATTTTACAAATATCTCTAACAAGTAGTTGCTCTGTAGCCTGCTTGAATTCTTCTCCCAGAAAAACATTTTTTTTTCTCTGCCATATGGCCAGCCTGCACATTTTTCAAATTTTTATTCTCTGCTTTCTGTTTAAATATAAATGCCAAATTTAAGTCATTTCTTTGCTCCCACATTTTATCAAATGGCTAGAAGCAGCCAGGCCACATCTTGAATGCTTGGCTGCTTAGAAATTTCTTCTGCCAGATACCCTAAGTCATCATTCTCAAATTCAAACTTCCACAGATCTCTAGGGCATGGGAACAATGCAGCCAAGTTCTTTGCTAAGGCATAATACTTGTGGCCTTTGCTCCAGTTCCCAATAAGATCCACATTTCCATCTGAGACTTCAGCAGGCTGGACTTCACTGTCCATATCACTATCAGCATTTCGGTCACAACCATTTAACTAGACTCTAAGAACTTCCAAACTTTCGCTCATTTTCCTGTCTTTTTTTGAGCCCTCCAAATTCTTCCAGCCTCTACCTGTTACCCAATTCTAAAGCTGCTTCCACATTTTCAGGTATCCTTATGGAAAAGCCCCACTCCTTGGTACCAATTCTCTGTATTAGGCTGTTCTTTCATTGCTATAAATACCTGATACTGGGTAATTTATAAGAAAAGAGGGTTTATTGGCTCATAGTTCTGCAGGCTGTACAGGAAGCATAGCACTGGCATCTTGCTTCTGAGGAGACCTAAGGAAGCGTTTACTTATGGCAGAAGGTGAAGCAGGAGTTTGCATATCACTTGGCAAAAGCAAGAGCAAGAGAGAGAGAGTTGGGGTAGGGGAGGTGCCACACATGTTTAAATGACCATATTTCATGCGAACTCAGAGGGAGAGCTCACTTATCACCAAGAGGATGGCCCAAACCATTCATGAGGGATTTGCCACCATGATGAAAACACCTGCCATGAGGCCCCACCTCCAACATTGGGGATTACATTTCTACAAGAGAGGTGAGTGGGGACAAATATCCAAACTATATCATGTCATCATCATATTTAACCTAGACCAACATAAGAGCCTCCTCAGCTGGTCTCCCTGGATCCAGTCAATTCTTCCTCTAACCCATTCTCTTCATTGATACTGAAGTGATGATTGCGATTGCAAATGCAAATGTTATCATGACCCTCTGCTGTCCCAGATTCTTTAATGACTCTCCAACCACACAGAGTAAAATCCAAAGTCGTTCTGGATATGCACACTAATCCTTGTCCCATTATTTTTGTCACTGCCTCACCCTTGTACACTACATATCAGTCACATTTAAATATTCAGAATTTCCCGAGCACACTATGATGTTGTATCCCTCTGTATCTTTGCCAGTGCCCTTTCCTCTGCCTGGAATATAATGTCCTTTCCTGTTCCATCTATCTAATGCCTAATCATCTTCAAAGACCCTGTTCAAGTGCCTCCTCCTCTGTGAGGTCTTCTCTGATTTATCTGAACTATAGTTGATGACTCCCTCCTTTGTTCCACTGATGAAATTTGTATGTGTCTTTTTCTGCCATTTCTCACTATGTGGCCTTTTTAAAAATGTCAGTGTCTGTAGCCACACTCAGTTTCTTGAAACTATTTTTTAAACTCTTAAATGCATCTGGTTTTCTCTATACCCCTCACCACCACACTTGCCAAAACCATCATCATCTCTTGTCGGAACTACAGTAGTCCTCCCTAATCTAAGGTTTTACCTTCCATGGTTTCAATTGCTTATGGTCAAATGAGGTCCAGAAATATTAAGTGAAATATTCCAGAAATAAACAATTCATAAGTTTTAAGTTTTGTGCCACTTTGATTATCACAATGAAATATCTTGCCTTTCCATTCCATCCTGCCCAGGACATGAATCATCCCTGTGTCCAGCGTATCCATGCTGTATACCTTACCCATCCACTGGTCACTTAATAGCCATCTCAATTATCATATTGAAAAAACATAGTATATATAGGGCTTTGTACAGTCTAAGGTTTCAGGCATCCTCTTGGAGTCTCAAAATATAGTCTCCATGGATAAGGGGAGGACTACAATATTGCAATAGATTCCTAACTGGTCGTTTTGCTTCCACTATTGTCACCTTAAAACCCATTCTTCATTTTGCAATTGTTGTTGTTGTTGTTCGTTTGTTTTTGTTTTATTTTGTTTTTGAGATGGACTCTCACTCTGTCACCCAGGCTGGAGTGCAATGGCATGATCTCAGCTCACTGCAACCTCCGCCTCCCCGGTTCAAGCGATTCTCCTGCCTCAGGCTCCCAAGTAGCTGGGATTACAGGTGCACACCACCACATGCAGCTAATTTTTTTGTATTTTTATTGGAGACAGGATTTCACTATGTTGGCCAGGCTTGTTTTGAACTCCTGACCTCAAGCAATCTGCCTGCCTCAGCCTCCCAAAGTGATGGGATTACAGGCATGAGCCACCACGTCCAGCTGGTGTTTTTTTTTTAATGCACACTGATCATGTTACATATATACCCTTCATTTCTTAACATATGTTACAGACTCCCCATTTATGTTAAGGTAGAAACCAGAATCTTTAATATGTGCCTTATAGCCCTGAAGACCTCCCTGGCCTCATCTTGTGCATATGTTCCCTCTCCATCCCTCTCTCTAATTTTACTAAAACAACCACTTCTAGTCCCTGGAACTTACCACACAGAGGATTTAGATTGTTCTATTGAATGAAAATAAGGCCAGTAAAAATATTTGATAAGGTGGGTACCATGATGCAAGCATACTGGAAAGAAGGAGACCAGATATATTGACTGATCAGATAAATTCTGTGTGACCAGCCAGAAAATTGGTGCAATAATCCATTGTGTGACTTGTGTGATGGTGGTGCACACAAAAGAGGAAGAAAGAGATATAATAGACATTTCAAAGAAAAAAGTCTGCAGAATTGAATGTCTAGCTGGTTATGAGGAATGAAGGATAATGCTGCAGAAGAATGTTTCCCTGATGAGAACAAACTGGAAGGGAACTTAGTTTAGGGGTTAAGACAATGAGTTTTGCTTTACACTTGTTAAGTCAAGTTGAAGGAGAACTGATCAAGGAAAATATCCTGTGAAGGCATGGACTGTATAGCAATATAAATTCAGAAGCATCCACATAGCAGGGAAGGAAGAGCAGAGGCTTGAGTGGATGAGCTCTCATGGGAAGGATATAAAGAGAAGAGGCCAGAAGTCAAAACTGAGCCCAAGGAATTGCTCACAGTAATGAGCTGAGGAACTATCAAGGAGGTAGGCAGTCTAGAGTAGTGATGTCTTGAAAATTGGAAAAGAGGAGAGTTCAAGAAGAAGAAGGTCGTTCTACAAGATCATGGGAAACAAAAACCAAAAAAGGGCTCTTGGGTTTAATTTAAAAAAAAAAAAAAAAAAAAGAGTATCATTCTTGACATTTGAAAAGTCTCTTTAGAGGATAAGAATAGAAATCAGAGAAGAGAATACTAAGGAATAGGTCTTTATTGATGTCCAAAAACAAAAATGGTTTTGTGATCAGTTTAATTTACATATTTTAAAAAGTCAAGAAGGCAAACCACTATTCAATTACCAGACATCCTGAAACACCTCTTTTTGTTCAAGAATAGGCTGCCATATTTTGTAAGCAGAGACCAAAGACCACATAAAATATTTCTCTTAAAACCTCCAAGGTTGGGAAAGTTGTGAAAAGTCCCAGTATGAAATGTTTTCAGAAGCTTTCCCCAGCATCCAGTCTTCCTTATTCGGAAGAATATTTGCAGTCAGTTGTTTTTCTAAGCATGTCTGAATTCTGTCATTGCAACATGCAAAAAGACAGCTAGCTGCTTTCTTCCTGTTTATGTTTTGCTCTTAAGTAACTTAGACATGAAATAGCCCAACTCTCCAGCTTTGTCTTCACAAGCATAGAAAACACCTAAACTCTTATCTATTTATTATAAGCCTTCACATAAACTACTTAAACTACTTATTACTCAGTGATGCCTATCTTTGGCTTTCATTAAAGGAAATGTAGTAGCTGTATCCACAAAAACTCTTAAAATTAAGTCATCTTTTCATTCATTATTTAATGTATTCTATATATGCCAAACACTATGCTGGTTTCTGAAAAGATGAATGAGTTCCTTGCCTGAAAGAGTTCACACTATTTGGGAGGACATGTGCCCTTTTTCCTCTGGGAGAAGGAGTATAGTCCCAGAAGATCGATTTGAAGGTGGGCTAAAGAGATCCAGCTCAGCTAATCACAGGATAGAGAGTGGGGAGAACTCATGGATCTGCCACACCAGAAGACACTCAGAATTATTTTTACTTTGCCCTCCCAGTCTTTAAGTGGGATATGGACCAGGGCAGGAGCCAAGGGCTCTGTAAAGAGCCCCTATTCACCTGAATAGGGGCAAGGCTTATCCTCTGTTCTTTTCAGTTTGTAGTGGACATTAATGATCTTTTTCTCCTGTTTATTGAGAAACCAATTACAGTTTGCTCTAAAGAAGCTAACGTGAAGTGATTTGAATGTCTTTACCTAAATGAGTGAAAGCATTCCTGCTTTTAAACAAAAGAATCCAGCTCAGTCTTTCAATCATAGCAATGACTTTATTTTTCTTACCTTCTGAGGAGAAATTTCAAACTAGGGAAATCTGCTAAATCAACAAAACATGTGTTTGAAGTTTTCAGCAGCAAATCCCAAAGGCTGCCAAGAAATTAGTTCATAATCTGAATTTACTGTATATATCACTTTATTATACAATACTTAGGTCATTTTGAGATGTCTACATAGATAGTTTTCCTTCTGACTATATCCCTTCCTCCCCAGAGTATGAATTAGGTCATTCAGTATTTGGATATCAATAATGACCATGATGATGCCATGGCAAATTTCCAAAGTTATGCTTTTTACGATGTTGGTATTGATTTTTAAAGGTTAAATTTCATTCATCCACTGTCCATTTTTAATGTACGAGTATTTGCAACCTCATGCCTCTAAATTTCTCCAATTTTTCTGCTCTCAATTAGTAGGCACCATACAGGCCAACAGCTTTTACAGCGGTCAAAGGCAGGGAAAGAAATTATATCTCACCTTCTTGGTAGAAAAATGCTGGAAAAGTCAAAGTACACTAGGAATTACCCTAAAATGAAATATTGACTTCACCTGGGCCTACCGTGCCTTTACTTACATCCTAGAAATTTGCCATGAAAATTTGGGTCAGTGGCTGTTTTGCCATTCTCTAGTTAAATGACCCTAGAAAACTTACATAATATCCTAAATCTTAGTTTTCTCATCAATTTTATAAAACTTATAGTATCATTCCCACCCACTTCACAGAGTTGCCAAGGATTTCAAATGACTCTTTGTGTAAGTGCCCTGTGTACACTGTCAAGTGCTTCACAAATCTAAGTCCGCTAAGTATTAGGCTGCTGCAAAAGTTATTGCAGTTTTTGCCATCAAAAGTCATGGCAAAAACCGCAATGACTTTTGCAGCAAACTAATACTAAATTGGTCATGTAACATCTCTGTTAGTGATGCCCTTGGGGGTGGGGCTCACAGCCATTTACTCAGGCCTCTCAGCACATTGTCATGTGTCTGTGTCTGTGTGTGTTTTGTGTTTATATATTTAGGGTGTACAAGTGCAGATTTCTTGCATGCATATATTGCATGGTGGTGAAGCCTGGGCTTTTAGTGCACCTGTCACCCGAATAGTGAGCATTGTACCCAACAGGTAATTTTTCAGCTCTCACTCCGCTCCCACCTTTCAGAGTCTCCAGGGTCTATTATCCACTCTGTATGTCCATGTGTACCCACTGTTTGGCTCCCACTTATAAGTGAGAACATGCAGTATTTGACTACCCATTTCTACCTCTCAGCACATTGTACTTGCATCTCTTCCTAAGCAATAGGGAAAGCCCCCTGTGGATGGGGTCTGAGGAGCAGGGCACAGGAAACCCAAAAACTCTTACAATGCATCATTCATTCTAGCTAATTAAGACCTGAGCTTAGTAATACTCCAGGGGAAACAAAACTTATTTCCCTAGATAACAAATTTATAACCTATAATTGGAGATTGAAAATTAAGTTTCTAGTTACAAAAGAGATTCAGTGATTACTTAAGAAGAAAAAATGTACAAAACTAATCATTGGCAGGAAGTGGACATAACATTAGTTAGTGGACATAACATTGCCCGGAAAGTGAGGAGACCCGTGTGATCTTTTCCTCTCATTCCCTGGCCCCCAGACTTCAAGATCCTCAGCTGTAAAACCAGGTTGGCTTGAGTGAGCCTCATGTTTCCTTACAACTTGGCAGTTCCATGATCCCAAATGACCCAGCATCTAACACTCCTGTCTGGCATTGCCTAAATGTTCCTGGGAACTAACAGAGCATGAAGTGGTTTCATGCTCAGTTGGGAAATATAAAGATGGGTCTGCTAATTGTGGCCAGGAAAACGCATCACTTCTAACACAGAAAGAAGACAGAGGGTATGGAATTAATCCAGAGCAGTGAGTCTGAATTACCAAACCAAAATGATTTTCCTTTTTGAGGTCAGAAGCCAAGCAGTTTGAGAAAGACTTACATAAATGGTTGTCACTCTACTCTCTGGTTTTTGCTTTGTTGTAGTGATTGCTTCTCCTAGACCATCTGGAAAGTGAAGGTAAAGAGTCCTAACTCATAATTCACGCACTTTCCAGAAATCTTTGCATAAACCTAGGTAAGTCACTTATCCCCTATGGGCTTCTGTTTCTTCAATTATAAAATGATTGAGTTGAACAATGAATAGATTTGTTAATAATTAGGTGAAACGCAGGTGATCATTAATGGTAACAGTAAAGATTATGGATCATGTTATCAGGATGTGATTTATTCACTTATCATATTAGGGATTATTGTGGGTGCCATGGATATAGGAGCAAAAAGAAAAAAAATCAAGAAGATATATTTGCCTTCTTGGAGCTTAAATTATTGTTAAAGTGACAGCAAATAAACACACAAAAAAGTAAAACACAGCATGTCAGATGGTGATGAGTGCTATAGAGAAAAAGGGCAAGAAAGGGACCTAGAGAGGCCAGGATGGAAGTGGAGATAGAATGGATGGCTGCAAATTCCTGAAGGAGGAGAGGTGAGCCAAGGCTATCAAAGAGGAGAGCCTTCTCGCGGAGAGAACAGCAAGCACCAATAAGGCTGGAACTCTGTGGACTCTAGGTAGAGAGTAGGAAGTGAGGTCAGAGGTTTAACAGGGAGCAGATCTTATAGAGCTTTGTAGGAGACTGGTTTTTACTTAGGGTGAGATAGGAGGACATTGGAGAATTTTGAGTAGTGAAATAACCGATTTAGGTTTCAAAAAGAACATTCTGATGCACTATGGAAAACAGATAAAAAGTAAATCAGGGAGATCAATTAAGAGGTTATTAAAATAAAGCAAGATGATAATAGCTTGGATCATGATGTGATAACTGTGCAGGTGGGGAGAGTAGTCCGATTTCATATATTTTCAAGATCCAACAGGATTTGTTGATGGATTAGATGCAGAGAAAAAGGGGAGTCTTGAATGACTGTGAAGTTTCTTCGGCCTGAACAGCTGAAAGGGTGGGTTGGCATTCACTGAAATGGGAAAGACAGAAGGAAGAGAAGGTTTGAGGAGGAAGACAGGGAGTTTATTAAGTTTGAGATGATAGATATACAAATAGAGATGTTGAAAAGGCAGTTGGGTATCCTACAGTTTAGCAAAGAGAATGTCAGAACTGGAAATATATATTTGGGAGCCTTCAGTGTTTAGATGGTGTTTAAAGTGATGAGGGTGGAAGAGATCACTCCGAGAGGAAAAGGAGATAGAGAAGAGTTTTGAGGATTGAGATATGAAGCGCTCAAATATTTAGTGGTCAGCAAGTCAAGGAGGAATCAACAAAGAAACCTAAGACAGAGAGATGAGCAAGGTAAGAGAAAAACTGGGAGAGTATGATGTTCTAGAAACCAAGTTTTTAAAAAAAAAAAAAAAAAAAGTCTTTAAAGGAAAAGGAATTAATCGACTGCATCCAGTGGTGTTGATAGGCCAGGTAGGACAGGAGTGATCATTGGATACAGCACTGTAGAAGTTATTGTTTATTTATTTATTTTTGAGGTGAAGTCTTGCTCTGTTGCCCAGGCTGGAGTGCAGTGGCATGATCTCGGCTCAGTGCAACCTCCACCTCCCAGGTTCAAGCGATTCTCCTGCCTCGGCATCCTGAGTAGCTGGAATTAGGGGCACACATCACCATACCCAGCTAACTTTATTTTTTATTTTTTATTTTTAGTAGAGACTGGTTTTTGCCATGTTGGCCAGGCTGATCTTAAATGCCTGACCTCAGGCGATCCACCCGCCTCGGCCTCCCAAAGTGCCAGGATTACAGGCATGAGCCATTGTGCCTGGCCAAGATCATTATTAACTTAGACAAGAGCTGTGTCAGTAATACCCTTACTGAATTCACTTCAAAAGAAAATTGGAGAAGAGAAATTGGAGATAGCTGGTATCGATGACTCAAGGAATTTTGCTATATAGTAGAGTAGAAAATCGGAGCAAGAGCTGGAAGGGAAATGATCAAGAGAGGGTTTTATTTTTTTATTTTTATTTTATTATACTTTAAGCTCTAGGGTACATGTGCACAACGTGCAGGTTTGTTACATATGTATACATGTGCCATGTTGGTGTGCTGCACCCATTAACTCATCATTTACATTAGGTATATCTCCTAATGCTTTCCCTCCCGCCTCCCCCTACCCCACAACAGGCCCCGGTGTGTGATGTTCCCCTTCCTGTGTCCAAGTGTTCTCATTGTTCAATTCCCGCCTATGAGTGAGAACATGTGGTGTTTGGTTTTTTGTTCTTGCAATAGTTTGCTGAGAATGATGGTTTCCAGCTTCATCCATGTCCCTACAAAACACATGAACTCATCTTTTTTATGGCTGCATAGTATTCCATGGTGTATATGTGCCACATTTTCTTAATCCAGTCTATCGTTGATGGACATTTGGGTTGGTTCCAAGTCTTTGCTATTGTGAATAGTGCCGCAATAAACATACGTGTGCATGTGCCTTTATAGCAGCATGATTTATAATCCTTTGGGTATATACCCAGTAATGGGATGGCTGGGTCAAATGGTATTTCTAGTTCTAGATCCTTGAGGAATCACCACACTGTCTTCCACAATGGTTGAACTAGTTTACAGTCCCACCAACAATGTAAAAGTGTTCCTATTTCTCCACATCCTCTCCAGTGCCTGTTGTTTCCTGACTTTTTAATGATTGCCATTCTAACTGGTGTGAGATGGTATCTCGTTGTGGTTTTGATTTGCATTTCTCTGATGGCCAGTGATGATGAGCATTTTTTCATGTGTCTGTTGGCTGCATAAATGTCTCCCTTTGAGAAGTGTCTGTTCATATCTCCTAAGCCAAAAGAACAAAGGTGGAGGCATCATGCTACCTGACTTCAAACTATACTACAAGGCTGCAGTAACCAAAACAGCATGGTACTGGTACCAAAACAGAGATATAGACCAATAGAACAGAACAGAGCCCTCAGAAATAATACCACACATCTACAACCATCTGATCTTTGACAAACCTGACAGAAACAAGAAATGGGCAAAGTATTCCCTATTTAATAAATGGTGCTGGGAAAACTGGCTAGCCATGTGTAGAAAGCTGAAACTGGATCCCTTCCTTACACCTTATACAAAAATTAATTCAAGATGGATTAAAGACTTAAATGTTAGACCTAAAACCATAAAAACCCTAGAAGAAAACCTAGGCTACACCATTCAGGACATAGGCATGGGCAAGGACTTCATGTCTAAAACACCAAAAGAGAGGGTTTTATTTTTAAGGTGGGTGACTATACATCATGTTTCCCTTCTAATAGGAGTAATTTAGAAGCAGTAGAGAAAGCAGAGGAACAAGGAAGGAAAGAAGCAGAGGAGAAGAAGAGGGTTTGTGGGGAGGGGAATGGGAAAGGACAGAAAGTGAGGAGACCTGTATGGGGTCTGAGGAGGAAGAATAATAAAGGAAGAGGAATAAAGGGGAGTGAGAAGGAAGAAGGATAAGAAAAAAATGATACACTGAAAAAGAAAAAAGAAAGGAGATGCAAATATATAAAATAAAAAATGAAAGTGAGCATATTACCACCAACCATACAAAAAAAAAAAACTATTAGAAGAGAGTACCACGAACAATTGTACACCAACTAACTAGATAACCTAAATGAAGTGGGAAAATTCCTAGAAACATACAAATTACCTAAACTGATTCAAGAAAATGTAGAAAATTTCCACAGACCTAAAACAAGTAAATAGATTGAATCAGTAATCAAAACCTCCCAACAAAGAAAAGTCCAGGACCAGATGGCTTCACTGGTAAATTTTACCAAGCACGTAAAGAAGAATTAACACCAGTCTTTCTCAAATTCTTTAAAAAACAAAAGGCAGAAGCACCAACTCATTCTATAAAGCCAGAATTACTGTGATACCAAAGACAGATAAAGACATCGTAAGAAAAGGAAATTACAGACCCAGTATCCCTTATGAATATAAATGCAAAGATCCTCAACGAAATACTAGGAAACTGAATCCAACAACATATTAAGAACATTACACACCATAACTGAGATTTATCCCAGGAATGCAAGGGGGGTTAGCATAATAAAACTAATCAATATATCACATTAATAGAATTGAGGGAGATGGGAAACTACATGATCATCTCAATTAAGAAAGAAATGGCATTTGACAAAATCCAACATCTTTTTATGACAAAATCTCTCAGAAAATTAGGTATAGAAGTAAATTTCCTCAACGTGGTAAGAGGCATTTATGAAAAAACCTCAGTTAACATCACAGTTAATGGTGAATGACAAAGTATCTCCCTTCTAAAGTCAGGAATAAAACAATGATGCCCACTTTCACCATCACTATTCAACAATTTACTGACTGTTCTAGCCAGAGAAATTAGATGAGAAAAACAAAGGTATTAAAATTGGAAAGGTAAAATTATCTGTGTTTACAGAGAACATAATCCTGTATGTAGAAAAACTCCAAAGAATACACACGAAAGCTACTAGAGCTAATAATTGACTAATTAAGCAAAATTGCAGGGTGCAAGATCAACACAAAAATCAGTTGTTTGTGTACACCAGCAATGAATAATCTGAAAAGGAATAACACAACAATTTCATTTATAATAACATCTTTTCTAATTTTTTAAAAATGCTACTTGGGGAATGTAGATAATAACATCTAAAAGAATAGAATACCTAGGAATAAAATTTAACCAAGAAGGTGAAAATTGTATACACTGGAAACTATGAAACACTGCTGAAATAAATTTTAAAAGACCCAAATTAATGGAAAGACATCCCATGTTCATGAGTATAAGACTTAATATTGTCAAGTCATAAGTACTATCCAAAGCAATCTACAGATTCAATGCAATACCTAACAAAACTCCAACAGATATTTTTGCATAAATGAAAGAGCCAATTCTCAAATTCATACGGTATTCTAGGAACCCCAATTAGCCAAAACAATTTTCAAAAAGAAGAACGAAGTTGGAGGACTCAAACTACCCAATTTCGAAACTTACTACAAAGCTACAGTAATCAAAACAGTGTGGTTATAGCATAAAGACAGACATATAGACCAATGGAAGAGAATTTAGAGTCCAAAAATAAACACATACATTTATGGTCAATTGATTTATGACAAACGTGTCAAATCTATCCAAGGGGGAAAGAGTACTCTCTTTAACAGATGATGCTGGGACAACTAGATTTCCATATGAAAAATAATGAAGTAGGACCCCTACTTCACACCATATACAAAAATTAACTCAAAATCAATGACCAAAATATTAGAACTGAAACTCACAAAACTCTTAGAAAAAGATAAGTGTAAATCCTCATGACCATGTATTTGGCAGTCTTAGATATGACACCAAAAGCAAGGGAAACGGAAGAAAAAAATAGATAAAATTTCATCAAAACTTAAAATTTTTGTGCATCTAAGGCATTATAATGAAAGCAAAAAACAACTTACCGAATGGGAGAAAATATTTGCGGGTCATATATCTGTTAAGAGTTTAATATCTCCAATATGTAAATAACTCATATTAACTCAACAACAAAAATATAAACAACCCAGTTTAAAAATGGGCTTAAGAGATTTCTCCAAAGAAAAGATACAAATGGGAAATAAGCACATGAAAAGATGGTTAATATCATTAATAACTAGGGAAATGTGAATCAAAACCATAAGAAGATACCACCTCACATCTACTAAAATTACTAACATCAAGAAAACTAAACAACAAGTGTTAACAAGGTGTAGAAAAATTGGAATTCTCATATATTGCTGGTGAAAATGTAAAGTGGTGCAGCCCCTGTGGAAAACAGTTTGATGGTTCCTCAAAAAACTACATATAGAGTTACCATATGACCTGCAATTTCACTTCTAAGTATGTAGCCAAAAGAATTAAGGCAGAGACTTAAACAGATATTTGTACACTGGTGTTCATTGAAGCATTGTTCACAATAGCCAAAAGGTGGAAACAACCCAGTGCAACCTAAATGCAAAAATACTATATATATAGGGAAAAAATTAACTATCATTTATATATGTTTAATTAATTCATTCATTTTTATTTTATTATTATTATTTCTTGAATCTCACTCTGTCACCCAGGCTGAAGTGCAGTGACATGATCTTAGCTCACTGCAACCTCTGCCTCCCAGGTTCAAGTGATTCTCCTGCCTCAGCCTCCCGAGTAGCTGGCACTACAGGCATGTGCCACCACGCCCAGCTGATTTTTTTGTATATTTAGAAGAGTCGAGGTTTCACTATGTTGGCCAGGCTAGTTGTGAATGCCTGATCTCAAGTGATCCATCTGCCTCGGCCTCCCTAAGTGCTGGGATTACAGGCGTGAGCCGCCACACCCAGCTGAGTCCTGTCTTTGAGTAAGCAAGAGAAGATGGGATCAACTACACATAAGAAGGGGCTGGGCTTTCATAGGATCATGGATAATTCATCCATACATGGTAACAATAATGAAAGTCAAGAGAATATGAACACAAATGCAGATAGTAGGTTTGGAGGGGAGGACAGATTTGTCTATCTTCATTGACTATAAGCCCTTGAACTTACACCTTTCTTACAGTGTTTATTTCATTCTTCCTAGTGGATTGTTGGTAATTCTTCCCCTTAACCATCATTTCACAATTGCAAGCTTCGTAAAGGTAAAGACAATGCCTTATTCATTTTGAATTTCCATAGAACCTGGCATAACATTCAGAATGAGTGAGTGAGTAAATTTATGGATACAATTGACAACTGGCTCCTATGAGTTGAGTTGATTTTTCTTCATCTTCAGTTTTGTTTATATTCTCTACTTCTGTGTTATACATGAATCAATGTGCTCCGTGAGAAACTTCCTTAGCATCCATCCAACTGTACAGTTGTGTGATAGTCTTCTCATATTCCTTTTTTAGAAATTTCAGGATGTTCTATTTAATTTAATTTAATTTAATTTAATTTAATTTAATTTAATTTAATTATTTTTTTTAGAGACAGGGTCTCATTCTGTTCCCCAGGCTGGAGTGGTGTGATCATGACCCACTGCAGCCTTGAATTCCTGGGCCCAAGCAGTCCTCTTGCCTTGGCCTCCTGAGTAGCTAGAGCCACAGGTACACACCACCATACCTGGTTAATTTTTAAAAATTTTTTGTAGAGATGAAGTCTCACCATGTTGCTCAGGCTGGTCTGAAATCCTGGCCTCAAGGGACACTCCCACCTCAGCCTCCCAATGCACTGGGATTACACATGTGAGCCACCACATTCAGACAGGATCTTTTATTCTTTTTTTTTTTTTTTTTTTTTTTTTTTTGAGATGGAGTCTGGCTCTGTTGCCCAGGCTGGAGTGCAGTGGTACAATCTCCGCTCACTGCAAGCTCCGCCTCCCGGGTTCATGCCATTCTCCTGCCTCAGCCTCCCCAGTAGCTGGGACTACAAGCGCCCGCCACCACACCCGGCTAATTTTTTGTATTTTTAGTAGAGACGGGGTTTCACCGTGTTAGCCAGGATGGTCTCGATCTCCTGACCTCATGATCCGCCCGCTTCGGCCTCCCAAAGTGCTGGGATTGCAGGTGTGAGCCACCGCACTCTTAACAGAAATTTCATCCAGTATTGTGCATTGCAAAAAGTGTTGTGGAAAATTCTAAGAAAAAAAAAATGACTCAGTCTCAGAGAACTGAATATCTAGTTTCAGAGAGGAATTTATGGGATTGACTTAAAGTATTTACAAGAAAGTAATGAAGATTGATGAAGGAAACGGTGAACAAATTCTAAATAATGTGACAACCAGTGCGAGGTCCAAAGAGTTTCTATTCTTTGGGTCTCTACGGTCAGTCAGGTGGAATCAATCAGAGACTTTTTGGAGCAGCAGCATTTTGAACAAAACTTTAAAAGGTGATGAAATCAAGTTTAAGTGAAAGATGATAAAGAATTTTGACACCAGGATAAATGGTTAAAGCATGCCAATGCAATGAGAATGCCAGTGAGGGGAGACTGGCTAAAGGGAGATAAGTAAGAAGAAGATAAGTTTTCTTCTAATATGCCTGAAAATCTGACAGCATTTCAAGCTTTAAGTTATGATCCTTGTGTAACATTTCATTTAAAGTGTAACATATCAAGAAAATTAATCCAAAAATGATTTAGTAATTGAATGACACAATTTGGGAAATGTTTTGGTACAACCAAAGAAACATACTAAATTGTTATTATTCTGCTTTGTATTCTTATAAAATCTAAATGTCATCACATATTTTTCTGGAAATGGTATTAGAGCTAACATTTACTGAGTGCCACTATATGCCACATACTATTCTTTATGTTCAACATGTGTTTCAGTTGCTCCTCGCACCCACTCTATGAAGTCAGCCTTATTAACTACTGTTGTTACAGCTGAGGAAACGAGGCACAGCAAGGGTCATTTAACTGTCTCAAGGTCACGTGGCAGGTCAGGGTTTGCATCTGGACTCTGTAAGTCATGAGTTCATATAATGTGTGGCACCTCTTCTTCAAAGCAACAACGGCAGTCAGGCAAATATTTTCCTGAACAGATTCATTTGATGGGAACAGATTTATACATCACAAATGAAGGGGGTAGAGTGCAGGAGAAGAATGAGAAGAATGAGATGGGGGAAATAGTCTATAATTTGAAAACATAGGATTACTGAGAAAGTATCATTAAAATAAATGAGCACTGACTATGCTAATACCAGATAATTCAATATGAATATATTCAATATTGAATGTATGTTGAGTATTGAATATTAATATATTGAATATGTTCAGTATATATGTTCAGCATGTATATATAGGATATGTTCAGTATTGTTCAGTATGTTCAGTGTGTGTGTGTATATATATACACACATATGGAACATGTGTATATATATACATATATACGTATATATGTGTATATATACATACATAGGTATATACATATATACGTATATATGTGTATATATACATACATAGGTATATACATATATACACATACATATATACGTATATATGTATATATGTATATATACATGTATATATGTATATGTTGTATACATATATACACGTATATATACGTATATGTATACATATATACACGTATATATACGTATATGTATACATATATACACGTATATATACGTGTATATACATGTATATATACGTATATGTATACATATACATATATACACGTATATATACATATGTATATACACGTGTATATATGTATGTATATATACGTGTATATATGTATACGTATATATACACGTGTATATATGTATACGTATATATACACGTGTATATATGTATACGTATATATACACGTGTATATATATGTATACGTATATATACACGTGTATATATGTATACGTATATATACACGTGTATATATGTATACGTATATATACACGTGTATATATGTATGTATATATACGTGTATATATATGTATACGTATATATACGTGTATATAAATGTATATATGTATATGTGTATATATACGTATATATACATGTATATATACGTATATATACACATATACATATATGGTACGTATATATACATATGTGTATATATGTATATATACATACATATATATACATGTATATAGATATACACACACACATACATACACTGTGAGAATGTTCCATATGTGTGTGTATATATATATATGTATGTTCAGTGTGTGTATATATGTATATATATGTGTGTATATGTATATATATATACACACACATATATACACACATATATACACGTATATATGTGTGTATATGTATATATATACACACATATATACACGTATATATGTGTGTATATGTATATATATACACACACATACATATATACACACATATATACACGTATATATGTATATATATACACATACACACATACATACACTGTGAGAATGTTCCATATGTGTATATATATATGTATGTTCAGTGTGTGTGTATATATACACATATATACATATATATGCACATATACATATATACACACACACTGAACATACATATACATATATATATACATATGGAACATTCTCACAGTGTGTGTATGTGTGTGTGTGTATATATATATTCTCACAGCCAACAGAATGTTTAGTAGTATGTATATACTGAACATTCTCATGGCCAACAGATTTACAGAGCACTTACCGTGTAAGGTGGTAAAGGTAAGAAAAGAATGCATGAATATGTATTGCCTTTGAGGTGTCTATAATCTAATGGGGAAGCAACAATTATAACAATTATAAATAATGAACATTTATCCCAAGCTAATGTTATAAATTCTATTCTTGAGGCATAAGTATTATGAGGACACAAAGAAACGATTATTTCTAGTGAATAACGGATAGAATTTGAAAGAGGAGCTGGCCTTTGAGCTGAACTTTGGAGGACGAGTAGGAGTTTCCCCAGATGCAGCAGGAGGGGAAGCACAGTCTGGGCATCAGCAAAGGGTGGAAATGTGAAAGATCACAGAATAGTTTGATGTGAATACCATACGGATGGAGAAAGGTGTGGAAAAGAAGGCTGGAAAGGCCCTAGAAATCCTGACAATGGGAGTCCCTGAATGCCACCACACTGAGGTATAAGGGCTTAATATTTAGTCAATGGGATTTGGCTTATGTGTTGAGCTGTAATTTGAGCTTTTTCAAAGCAAAAACAAGGTCCATGTGTCAATCATCCCTGAATTCCCTGTACTTTGTACAGCATCTGGAACACAGTAGGTATACACAGGATGGATGGGTGGATGGATGGATACATGGATGGATGGATGGGGCACATTCAATACAAACCTTAGAAGTACCAATGACAGTCCAGGCATGGTGATTCATGCCTGTAATCCCAGCACTTTGGAAGGCTGAGGCAGGATCACTTGTGGCCAGGAGTTTGAGACCAGCCTGGACAACACAGTGAGACCTCCATCTCTACAAAAAATTAAAAATTAACAAAAAATTACTAATGACAGAATTTCATGAATAATTGGATATTTGAACAACCAGAAAGAGTCAAAGATGACTTGAAGCTTCCTAGCACAGATTTTAAGGAATACAAAAGGATGAGCTGGTTTGAGGAGGTGAGAGATATTTTAATAAATTTATATCCTGCACCTAAAAATGTGGAGAGGGGACGATCACATGGCACAGAGGAAACAGGAAGGCATCAAGGGGGCTGAATGCAGCCTGGAGGGCCCTGTCTCTGTGGGTGGGAGTCGGGGGTACTCATCACTCTCCTGGACCCTGACAAGCTACTACTAGGGTTTGCTCGGGGATACCAGAGGGGTGCCGTGCCCTTGGACTTAGGAAGAAGTTGGGAAAGGTTGAATTCCCTTCAAAGCTTTTCCTAACCTGTCCTCAGGTTTACATCTTTACTCACCTTCTCTCTCCCTCATCAAAAAACAAAACCATGCCACTCTGTGAGCCTACATGCTCACAGTTTGCGGGTGTCGGGGGCTGAACATCCAATTGGTCAGAAATGTCATTTTAGATTATATAACTTCTCATAAATCTTATCATATTCAGTCTGGATTTTACTGGCATTTTAAAAGTCTGCAAGATCACTGTATTCTTTGAAGCAAAAGGACCAAGTACATATACACATGAATGAAAAGGTGGGATGCTTTACTCAGGAAAAAAAAAAATGATTAGCAAAAAGAGTAGAAGGTGATATGCCTACAATACTCCGTTAAATTTAGCTCTATTAAAAACTGTTTACCCAGAAAAAAAATTTAACAAATGAAGGTTTATGTGCAACACGAAGTCCATATCTCCCCAAACAAACAATTGTGTTATTTTGGCAGAACTTGTTTGAATCTTGCCTCTGTTATTTGTTATCTGTATGACTGTAGGTAAGATAGTTAACTTTTCTGAGCTCCAGTTTTCTCATCTCTTAAATGGGTTTAATATCATTTCCCTCCCAGAGACTGTGAGGATTAAATGGGATGTCCTACATAAAATTTTCACTGCAGTATCTGGCACAAGTAGGAGTTAAGAAATGTTAGTTCACCCTTCCCCCTTATGAGCCGAATTATAGGAAGCTGAGTCAAATTGATACAAAGACAGAAACTAAAAGGATGCTTGCAATTTGTGGGTAAATTCAGACAATCAGAAAATGTAAAGGACTGAGAACACTGATGCAATTAGGGGAAACACTACTGGCTAGTGTTTACAGATTTCAAGCGTCTTTCAAGCTGCTCTCACCAGGCCTTCCTCTGGCTTTCCCCTTTGAGCCTTGATCACTAGTCACACTGTTCTAGACCTTTACAAAGAGGTAGGGAAGAAGAGAATTAAAACGAACAGGCACTTGCATGCACTGAATTGTTCATTTTAACTGGAATTTGGTGATAGGATGGCTAGGGTTTCCTAAGGACTTTGAAGATTTTTCCCCCAAACTTAAGAATACAATAATTATGTAAAATTGATGCCAATGGGAATACTATGCAGCCATAAAAAATGATGAGTTCATGTCCTTTGTAGGGACATGGATGAAATTGGAAATCATCATTCTCAGTAAACTATCGCAAGAACAAAAAACCAAACACCGCATATTCTCACTCATAGGTGGGAATCGAACAATGAGAACATATGGACACAGGAAGGGGAACATCACACTCTGGGGACTGTTGTGGGGTCGGGGGAGGGGGGAGGGATAGCACTGGGAGATATACCTAATGCTAGATGACGAGTTAGTGGGTGCAGCGCACCAGCATGGCACATGTATACATATGTAACTAACCTGCACATTGTGCACACATACCCTAAAACTTAAAGTATAATAATAAAAAAAAAAACGATGCCAATGGTGTGCATTTTAACCTCCACAACTACATTTTTGCTAATGGTGCCTTGCTGCATTTAATATGGAAAACATTAGTCTACTTTGTGGCAGAACAGGTTTTTTTAAAACTCTTTAATTTTAACCCATTCTCCACAACTCTCCTTACCCAGCTGTTTTCCCCTCACAACCTTTTTTTCTTCTCTCTTCTCTATGTAACCCAGCTAATAAGTGGTCACTCTTTTATTTAGTTATTCATTCATGTAACAAATACTAAGTTCCTACTAGATTCCAGGCACTCTTCTAGGCTCTGAGGATATAGTAATGAGTAAGACTAAATCCCTGCTTCCATGCAGACAAATAGAGGGGACAAAGAATAAACAAATAAGCACATGAAAGAACAATTACTCATAATGATAAGTGCTACAGACGAAAATAAAGCAAGTGGTAAGAGTGACTGGGAGATGGCTATTTGCCTAATTTTTATAGACATCCAATGCCCCAGGCCACACACAAGATTACCCCAAGTTTAATTGCTTTGTGCAGAGACTGGAGCCAAGGTGTGTAAATGCATGTCGTGAGATACTCATTCTCCAGTGCCATCTGATAGTCCCATTAACTGATAGAAAGTCAAGAAATTTTTCCAATAAATAAACAGGTATTAGATTGATAATCAGAAAAAAATTCAACCTTATGTCAAAACATGAGAAGCTATTACCTCAAGATCTAAGAGAACATGTTCATGCTTTTGATGCTGAAGTGCTCTTGGTGACTGATGATAAAGGGAGACGGAAGTGACCTGGATACAAAGATGAATGACCCAAGCCCTGAATACAAACAATTTTGACATGCATCTACATCAGATCTCGTACAGGAGTGTCATGCATAAAATGAACTTTCCACAACAGAGATAGTCAAGATTTGGAAAAGGTAGCAGAGAGGAGCAAAGAAAGAGATTTAAATAATCCAGTAGATTAAGTAACTGGCAACCAAATAATTAATTGTAAATTAACTAATAACTGCTTCACGGATAACTGAGGCCGTATCAGAGGCCATATCAAAACATGAATCAAGGTTCAAATCCTATACCTCATCCTTTATTGGTTGGGTGACAATAGGGAAGTTATTTAATCTTCCTTATTTAATCTTTCCACATAGGCATATAATGCTGTCTGTTATATAATGATGCCTATTTGATAGGGTTACTGTAAGGACAGTAAGGACTGTGAGGACATAGAAAGAATTTTGCAGTGTTTAGAACGTACCAACCATTAAATGAGTAGTAGTAATTAATAATAATATTGTTATTGTTATTATTATTATTTGAGACAGAGTCTCACTGTGTCACGCAGGGTGAAGTGCAGTGGTGTGATCACGGCTCACTGCAGCCTCGACTTCCTGGGTTCAAATGATTCTCCCACCTCAGCATCCTGAATAGCTGGGACTACGGACATGCGCCATGATGCCCAGCTTATTTTTTGTATATTTTTGTAGAGATGGGGTTTCGCCATATTGCCCAGGCTGATCTCAAACTCCTAGGGCTCAAGTGATCCTCCCACTTCCCAAAGTGCAGTTATTACAGGTGCGGGCCACCGTACCTACCCAATATTATTATTATTAAAAGTTTTCTGCCTGTGACTTCAATTCGACTCTACTAAAGTAGTCTTTTTAGATGAGGTTAACATTAATTTGACACATTTTTATAAATCTTCACATTGTTTAAATATATTGTAACAAAATAATTTCTCTACAGTTCACTGTAGAGAAATTAAAATACACAAATAAATTATAAGTAAGAAATCTTAAATATCATAATTATGCCACTACTTAGAAACTAGTGAGATAGTTAGATACAATACAATAGATACAATAGATAGATCTAATATTCTTTTAGATCTCTAAATTAATCAATTTATAAATATGGAGTCATATTACTCATACTGTGTTAAAATCAGCTTTTTTCATTTCATGACATAGAGCGAAGAATGTCCAATAACTAGTTATCCAAAACGTAATGGCTGACTGATATTCCACTGGATGAATGAATAACTTACACAGCCAATGTCCTATCAGTGAACATTTAGATTTCTACCAATTAGATATGATGAAAAATCTTGTAGGTACTCTTAAAGCACTGCCCTAATATTTTTAATTTAATATTTATTTTAATATTTTAAAGAATTTGGTATAAAATTTCCTTCCAAAATAATTATAAAATTTCAAGGTCTTGAAAACATTGCCAAATTATCTTTCAAAAAAAAAGGTATCAGTTTATACTCTCATCAGCAGTGTGTGAGAGTGGCCTCTTCTTTGATCCTCAATCATAAGTTATTATTTCTTTCTATAATCTTTGTCAGTTTGATAGGTAAAAACAATATGATGTTTTAATTCACAGTATTTTATTATTAGTTAGCTTAAATTTCCATGTTGATTGTATAATTATATTTTTCCTTCTGTAAATGATTAGTTTAAATCCTTTGGATATTTAGAGATTGTTGTATTCATCTTCTTCTAAGTTTGTAAAAGTTGTTATATATGAAATAACATTTTATCTGTCCTACAGATTAAAAATATTTTTGCCTAATTTTTCAATTGCCTTAAAAATTTTTTTTTCAGGTTAATAGAGATACAATTTAGAATCGTTTCTCAGCCTTTTGGCTAAGATCAACTGTGAGATACAATTTAGAGAAAGTAAAACTTACCCTTTTCTATGAATTTTAACAAAAGCATACAGTCATGTAACCGTCACCATATTCATCACTAAATTCAGTAAAAATGTAGAATAGTTTCATCACCCCTCAGAAGTTCCCTCATGCTCCCTCCTTCCGCAACTCTTGCCCCCAAGTAACCACTGATGTTTTCTTTCTCTGTGGTTTTGCCTTGCCCAAAATGTCATATAAATGAAATCATACAGTATGTAGCCTTTGGAATCTGGCTTCATTCACTGAGAATAATGCACTTAAAATTTATTGATATATTAGTAGCTTTTTTTTCCTTTGAATGTATTGCTGAGCAGTGTTTTCTGTACTCAAATATCACATAGTTTCTTTATCTGTTCACTGGTTGATGCACATTTTCATCATTTCTAGTTTTGGGTGATTGTGAGTAAAAAAAAATAAGTATTCATAAATATTCACGTACAAGTTTTTGTGTAGACATGTTTTTATTTCTTGTGGTTACATCCCTAGAAGCAGGGTAAACATATATTGAACTTTATAAGAAACTGCCAAACTTTTCCAAAGTGACTGTACCATTTTCTATTGCTACCAACCATGTATAAGAGTTCCAGTTGCAGCCGGGCGCGGTGGCTCACGCCTGTAATCCCAGCGCTTTGGGAGGCCGAGGCGGGCGGATCACGAGGTCAGGAGATCGAGACCATCTTGGCTAACACGGTGAAACCCCGTCTTTACTAAAAATACAAAAAATTAGCCAGGCGTGGTGGTAGGCGCCTGTAGTCCCTGCTACCTGGGAGGCTGAGGCAGGAGAATGGCGTGAACCCGGGAGGCGGAGCTTGCAGTGAGCCGAGATTGCGCCACTGCACTCCAGCCTGGGCGGCAGAGCGAGACTCCGTCTCAAAAGAAAAAAAAAAAAAATGAGAGTTCCAGTTGCTTCACGTCCTTGCTCATACTTGATATTCTCAGGCTTGTTTTCTCTTTCTTGTTTTTTGTTTCTTTTTCATTTTAGTCATTCTACTAAGTATGTGATGTTATCTCACTCTGTGTTAAGTTGCATTTCTGTGTTAACTAATGATGTTGAGCATTTTTCCTTGTGTTTATTTGCCATTCTTATTTCTTCTTTGGTACAATAGTTCTTTAAATCTTTTGCCTGTTTTAAAAATGAAGTTGGCCTGGTACAGTGGCTCACACCTGTAATCCCAACACTTTGGGAGGCTGAGGCAGAAGGATAGCTTGAGGCCAGACATTCAAGATCAGGCTAGGTAACATGGGGCAAACCTATCTCTAAAAAATTAATTAATTAAAATAAAATAAATAAAAATGAAGTTGTTTTGTTATTATTGAGTTGTGAGTGTCTTTACATATTCTAGGTAGCAGTTCTTTATCAGATATGTGTTTTGCAAATATTTTTCCCAGTCTGTGTCTCATCTTTTCATTCTCCTAATAGTATCTTTCCAAAAAACATGTCTTTACCAAGAGTATCTTTTCAAAGAGGAAATTTTTTATTAGGTCAAATTTATCAGTTGTTTCTTTTATGATTCTGACTTTCCTGTGTCTTATCTAAGAAATATTTGCCTATTTAAAGGAGAAAATTTTTCTCCTATGTTTTCTTTTAGAAGTTTTATGGTTTTAGGTTTCACATTTAGGCCTATAATCCCACCTCAGTTAATTTTTTTTTTTTTTTTTTTTTGAGACAGAGTCTCTGTCGCCCAGGCTGGAGTGCAGTGGTGCAATCTTGGCTCACTGCAAGCTCCGCCTCCCAGGTTCACGCCATTCTCCTGCCTCAGCCTCCGGAGTAGCTGGGACTACAGGCGACCGCCACCACACTCAGCTAATTTTTTTGTATTTTTTTAGTAGAGACGAGGTTTCACCATGTTAGCCAGGATGGTCTCGATCTCCTGACCTCGTGATCCACCCGCCTCGGCCTCCCAAAGTGCTGGGATTACAGGCATGAGCCACTGCCCCCCGCCCCTTCTCAGTTAATTTTTGCCTATGGTGCAAGAAATGGGTCAGAGTGTGTGTGTGGGTGTGTGTGTGGGGGTGTGTGTGTGTGTGTGTGTATATATATATACACACAATTGAATATTCATATAAATATATGAATATGCAATATTCATATAAATATATTTGTAATGTTATGTATGTAAATTTTTAATATTCATATACATATGTTTATATGAATATTCTGTTGTTCCATCACCACTTGTTAAAACAAACTACTTTTTCTCCATTTAATTGCCTTCTCATCTTTGTAAAAAATACATTGGGTATAGGATAGGTGTGTAGATCTATTGCTGGACTCTCTATTTCTCCTTTTTTGTCTGTGGGTCTGTCCTTTTACCAATACCGTATTACCTTGATTATTCTCACTTTATAATAAGACAACATCAGGTAGTGAGAATACTTCAATCTGATTCTTTTTCAAAATTGTTTGGCTATTCAACTATTTTTGCTTTTTTCATATAGACTTTACAATCAGTTTATAAATTTCTACAAAAATATCATGCCAAGATTTTTTTGTGGAACTGAATTGCATCTGTAACCCAATCTGGGGAGAAAATTTATCTTAACAAAATTGTCTTCCCATCCATGAACACAGAATATCTCTTCATTTACATAGGTTTTTTTTTTTAAGTCTCTCGTTAGTGTTCTATGGTTTTCAGCACACATTTCTTAGATTTGTAGACAGGCATTTTATGTTTGTTTGTGCTGTTATGATACTCGGCTGGGCATGGTGGTTCATGCCTGTAATCCCAGCACTTTGGGAGGCTGAGGTGGGCGGGTCATTTGAGGACAAGAGTTTGAGACCAGCCTCGGCAACATGGTGAAACCCAATCTCTACTAAAAATACAGAAATTAGCCAGGCGTGGTGATGAGTGTTTGTAGTCCCAGCTACTCTGGAGGCTGAGGCATGAGAATCACCTGAGCCCAGGAGGTGGAGGTTGCAGTGAACCCAGATTGCACCACCGCACTCCAGCCTGGGTGACAGAGTGAGACTCTGTTTCAAGAAATAACAATAAGAAAATAAAAATAAATTAATTAATTTAAAAAATATAAATGATAGTTAATTTTTTTCTGTATTTATAGTATTTTTGCATTTAGGTATTTGTTGCAATGTCTGTATTTTATGTTTTAAATTACCCTTTGTCTGTCCTACCTGTCACCAATATTTGGCCTAACTTGCCATTTACCTTTTCATGTTGTTTATAGCCATATAGTTAAGTCTTTTTATTCATGCTTCTCCTTTTGTGTGAATTTATTATATTTTAAATTAATTACCTTTACCTATATTATTTTAATCTTAATGAAAACTATAATAACTATGAAAAGGACAGTGTTATTCATCTTTTAAAGCTTATTACACTGATATCAAAAGATTAACTTTTTAACATTCACAAATTAGTAGGTTACATTAATTTTCCAAGGTTAGAGGCATTGTTGAGTCTGAGATACTTTGATTGTTTTACAAATACCTTTCACAGATCCTGCACTCAAGGAGGAAAAACTGATAAATGAACTTAACAAAGCTTCAGAGGTATCTGAGGGGAAGTACAGAACTTCACATCTGTGGAGTGATCAGGTCACTGACTGATCACAGTGGTAGTAGTAGTAGTAGTAGACACAGTGGTACATCACCCATTAATTTAGTTACTGGTTGAGGTAGAACTCACAGGGCTGCAATTAAAGACTCTCTTAACATTATTTTTTGGATTTTATGATTCACACATTTTTTTTCTATTAATTGAAGACTCAGAGATTACATCTTGTCCTTTGAAAAACATCAGATGAAGTAAGCCAATTTTCTAAGTGTAAATTCATACATTTCTTAACTGGAAAAAGAAAAAGCAGCACCCCAAATATAAAAGGTATTATAATTTTGGATAAACTATTAGAAAGGCTGGCATGTGGAGCAAAACATGACATACTATTAATGGTACCCTTGGACTGACAGACTTATGGTAAAGTTTATGAATTCATATGAAGAAATGCAGCTACTAATTACTTTCAGATGAAGATACCATTAAGCCATTGAATTAGTCAGCTTGAGCTGCCATAACAAAAGCCACAGACTTTGTGTCTTAAAACAACAAAAATTTATTTTTTCACAGTCTGCAGGCTGGAAGTCTGAGATCAGGACGTTAGTTGGGTCCAGTTCTGAGGAGGACTCTCTTTCCAACTTGCAGATGGCCACATTGTCGCCTTGTCCTCACATGGTGGAGAGAGAACACTGGGTCTCTTCCTCTTCTTATTATAAGGACACCAATTCTATGAGATAAGAGTTCCAACCTTAGGTGTCATCTTCAATACAGCCACATGGGGGAGTCATTCAACATATGAATTTTTCAAGGACACACTTCCGTTCTTAACAGCCTTTAAGAGAATGACACATATTTTCCACTACAGAAGATATTACTAGTTAGCAAAATTTTACAGGAAATAGCTGAGGATTGTGTTTATGGTTTAAGCAAACAAGATGATGACATTTCCTTAAGCTAAACATAAATGCTGATCAATGGCCTCATTTAACTCTACTACCAGAAAACCAGCCTAAGACAAACCTGCCCTCTCTTGTGACAAAACCCAAACTACGACTCAAGAATTAAATGCTGATGGTAAATACAATAGAGTTTGGAATGACAACAGAATGTTCTCCTAAGCCTCCTGAGAAACACAGAAGACATAAAATATCACAAGTCATCATTATTCAGAAAGATCCCTACAGAGATCTCTGTTGCAATAAATTCTCTAGAAGGAAAAGGGTCTGCATTTGGGGATAACTGACCTACTCATTTGTCAATGGAATTTAAGTAAAATGTAATTTTATTGGTTGGAGAGATTTTGTGCTGCTTAGGTAGAGAGAAAATATGTTTCTTTCTGTGTTTTTTTTTAATAAAATAAAATCTTGGAGCTCAAAATTTTATTCAACATACTTATACTTTTATTCAACTTTGGTACAAAAACAGGAAGAAGTAAGGTAGGAAAGCAACTGAATAAGAACAGGAGAACTAAAGATAAAGAGGAGCCTATTCTCAATAATGCATCTGAATAAACTGTTTAACTTAAAAAGATTGATTGAGCAGGGAAAGGAGCAAAATGGGAAGCAAAGAAGGAGAAGATGATGATGGAAGAGAGATACTTGCACAAATGTACATCCCATGGGGAGGAACACATGGTAATTAGGAGGTCATGAAGCAAACGTTTAGAGAAAGTAATTACATAAAAAGTATAGGAATAATCCAGGAAAGAAATAGGTGTTAAATAAAAGTAAGTATGGATGATTTCACTAAAAACAAGTCATATTAGTGTATCTGCTTTTCTTCTATAATGGTTATTAAATCAGTAGATCAAGGGAATGCTTCCAGAGATTTAGGACAAATATGACAAAATCTTAGTAAATATCCTTATGAAAATAAAAAAGAAAATGTAAGTTGGATGTTGGCTAAATTATATGAGCCATGTATCTAGTTAAATAATCATGTTCAAAGCATATTAATTAATAGACATATGTCAGTTCATTCATTCATTCTTCAATTATAAACTCTTATTAAGCAGCAAATATTTGTCAGGCACTATGTTAAGCCTTAGAGATACTAAGAAGATCAAACTGTGGTCTCACAATCTATTAGGAAGAAGCAGGGCTGTCACCAATAACTGTGATAGGCTGTTCATTAACTATGACAATAATAATCTAGCTTAAAGAAAAATCTTTAGTGAGAAGAAAAGATACTTCCAAAGCCTTAATCTTATTCACCATTTTTACCAATAATGTGGCTAATGCCAGCAAGAACTTGCTTACTATTTTGCAGATGTCATAGAACTTGTGGAAATAGTTAGACATTGGTAGATCAAAATAAGAAGTCAAGAAAATCTCAATGGATGGGAATAATGGGCTAAAACCAGTAAGATGAATTAAATATAAATTAATGTGGTGATTTACATTGAGGTTAAAAGAACACAACCACGTGAATACAGTACTTGGAAGACGTAGCTTGACAGCAGCTAATATGAAAAAGACCTGACTCTCAGTCAAACACAAACTCGATATAGCTTAGCAGTGATATATAATGTCTAAAACCTTGAGGTTTCATGATCAAAACAGCAGATCCAGGCCAAGGACAGTTACGACACAAGTGTATTCTATGCTGGTAAGGATGATTCTGCGTCGTGGTCCAGTTCTGTGGGACGCTTCAAGGCAGTATTTGACATATTAGAGAGGATCTAGCAGGAGGCAATGAGGGGGAGTTTTTGTATGAAAACTTCTACTTTATATTTTTAAAACTTATAAGAAAAGAGGGCACTTTAGCCTAAAGAAAGAAGTTGTAATGAGTCGTGTCATTGTGTTTTTTAACACTGAGTAGAATTACTCTACGAAGTCCCAGAAGGTAAAATAGGAATAACTGACTTTTCTATTGGGATTTATTCTTTGCAAAGAGCTGTCTTATTAATTATATCATTTGGTTCTTATAATTACCTTGAGAGTTAGGCAATGCATACACTACCATTACCACCATTTTATAGGTTGGAAAACTAAAATTCAGAAAAGTTGAGGCTTACCCAAAGTGGAAAAGTTGAGGGCCCAAATCCCAATTTTTTGAGCCCAAACCTATGCTTGTCCCACAATGCCATGCCGTCTTTCCACTTGGAAGCAGATTTTATCTCAGTATAAAAAATAAAAACATTTTTAATAATAAAGAGCACACAAAAATGAAACAGATTAATGAAACAAATAAAGATTTCCTTTTCCTGAAAAAAAGCAAACATGGGCTGAGGATTTTGTGTCAGGCACTTCATAGGTGACTGCTTCTTATGGAGGAGGTTGGATCAGGTGATCTCCAAATACATTAGAATAAATATTTACTGTGGGTTGCCTGTTCATTCTGATGGTAGTTTCTTTTGCTGTGCAGAAGCTCTTTAGTTTAATTATATCCCATTTGTCAATTTTGGCTTTTGTTGCCATTGCTTTTGGTGTTTTAGACATGAAGTCCTTGCCCATGCCTATGTCCTGAATGGTAATGCCTAGGTTTTCTTCTAGGGTTTTTATGGTTTTAGGTCTAACATTTAAGTCTTTAATCCATCTTGAATTGATTTTTGTATAAGGTGTAAGGAAGGGATCCAGTTTCAGCTTTCTACATATGGCTAGCCAGTTTTCCCAGCACCATTTATTAAATAGGGAATCCTTTCCCCATTGCTTGTTTTTCTCAGGTTTGTCAAAGATCAGATAGTTGTAGATATGCGGCGTTATTTCTGAGGGCTCTGTTCTGTTCCATTGATCTATATCTCTGTTTTGGTACCAGTACCATGCTGTTTTTGGTTACTGTAGCCTTGTAGTATAGTTTGAAGTCAGGTAGTGTGATGCCTCCAGCTTTGTTCTTTTGGCTTAGGATTGACTTGGCGATGCAGGCTCTTTTTTGGTTCCATATGAACTTTAAAGTAGTTTTTTCCAGTTCTGTGAAGAAAGGCATTGGTAGCTTGATGGGGATGGCATTAAATCTATAAATTACCTTGGGCAGTATGGCCATTTTCACGATATTGATTCTTCCTACCCATGAGCATGGAATGTTCTTCCATTTGTTTGTATCCTCTTTTATTTCCTTGAGCAGTGGTTTGTAGTTCTCCTTGAAGAGGTCCTTCACATCCCTTGTAAGTTGGATTCCTAGGTATTTTATTCTCTTTGAAGCAATTGTGAATGGGAGTTCACTCATGATTTGGCTCTCTGTTTGTCTGTTGTTGGTGTATAAGAATGCTTGTGATTTTTGTACATTGATTTTGTATTCTGAGACTTTGCTGAAGTTGCTTATCAGCTTAAGGAGATTTTGGGCTGAGACAATGGGGCTTTCTAGATATACAATCATGTCATCTGCAAACAGGGACAATTTGATTTCCTCTTTTCCTAATTGAATATGCTAGATGATGAGTTAGTGGGTGCAGCGCACCAGCATGGCACATGTATACGTATGTAACTAACCTGCACAATGTGCACATGTACCCTAAAACTTAAAGTATAATAAAAAAAAAAAGAAAACTCTAAAAAAAAAAAGAATAAATATTTACTGTGAGAAAAAGAGAGTGAAAAAGAAAGAGATTCAAGTTGATATTCAGGAGACATCCATGGAGTTCATTCATTCACTTTGCAAAGATTCACTGACCACTTACTATGTAGTACATAGTCCTAGAATAGTGATAAACATACCAGACTTGAAAATAGAAATCCTGGTATTGAGTACGGGTTCACTCAGTTATCATCTGTGTGCTTTTTTGAGTATAAATTTTGCCATATGTCAAGGTTTATAAAATCCATGTCAAGAATTACAAGGATTGGATGAAATAATATTTTAAAAGTAGTAAGCACATAGCAGGAGCTTAATAAATATTAGTTCCCTTCTCCCCTTTACATATGAAAGTTGCCATCAGTTCCCAAAAGACAGTTTGTATGAATTTAATACGACATTAAGACAGGACCAACATGTAAAGAAAGTGGAAGGGCAAGTGAAGACTTTCTCGGTGTTCACATTGCTTTGCTGGTTTGAAGGTGACCACTAAGGCTTAATTTTGTAAAAAGCCTGGGGCACAGCATGTTCTAGAACTTTATTTGATCTTGAATTCTCAGCCTAAGATTTCTTTCTTCTCACTGATCTTTGTACATTGTTGAGTAAATTGTACTGGTTTCTTATTCTCAGACAGAATTAGAGATAATAAGATATTTGTCTGCTGTATACTCATGGATGAAAAGGATATAAAGGCCCTGTTTTATAATAATTTTGTTATTATAAATAACAAAATTTATAATATGCATCTAAACATGCTTCAAATCAGAGAGAAAAAAATAATCAATTGCCTAAAAATGAGGAATTTTCCTTTTAGTGGATTTAACAGTTACACATTTCTGTTTTGGAAATCAAGCTTCTTGGTTGTAACTAGAGTAGTTTAGGATGTGATGTTTTGGATAATTTTGCCAACTTCATGTTCTGGTCAGAAATAAGAACATCAGGAGACAATGGCTCATGAGTTACCAAAGATTGTTGGTTTGTATGCAAGCTCACCAAATATGGAAACCAGGTTTGTAAACAAAATCTTGCTTAGCCCTGCTGAGCCATTCTTCCAGAAAAAAATACTAAGTATAGATTTGTTTTATTTTTTCTTCTGTTTTACCTTAATATATAAACCAAATATTTGTTCAGCTCTCACCTCAAAGAATTAACAAAAATTATGAATGCCTATCAAATATAGAACTGGTTTATTCACATTCCTCTCTTACTATATATTCAAAAGGGTAAAAGATAACAAAGAATATAGGATTAATCTGTTTAGTTTCCTATGTTGAGAATGTACATTTAATATACATGAAGCAGTTTAATAGCAATATAAAATGTATTTAATGTTCGTAATAGTAAACATTTACCGTGTACCTAACCATGCACACCCTCCTTGAGGAACATAATCTGGTGGAAGTGGAAGATGTCAGATATAGAGAAATTTATAATAATAGTATAATGTAAGATGAGTTTCATTAGAGCTTAGGACCATGGTACTATCAGGGAGCTATTACAAAATAAGATGGTATGTCTATGTATACTGGAGTTGGGGGAGAGAGACAGACAGAGAGGGTCCTCACACTAAAAAAAAAGCGTCTTGTTAGGCCAAGCAATACCCTATTTAATAACTTGAAAATTACATAATGCAAAATTTACCAAGGAATGCAAAACAGCAATTCTCTTTCCAGCATATTAAGAAAAAAATAATTCTCAACTCCCAAATATCTAAGAATTATCTGGAAGCATTAAAATGCAAATTTTCAGCTTCACACCAAGATATTCTGATGCAGCAGCTCTGAAATGATGCATTGAAGTTTTCAGGTTCCATAACCCAGGTGATTCTGATACAGACATTATGCAGATCTCATTTTGAATAATACCACCAAAAGAATAAAAATTAGATATAACTGGATATAGCTCTTTCAATCACAGAATCCAAAGACTTAAAACTCCTTGAACAAAAACATAAATCCCTTTAAAAAAGAATTAAGAAAATAACTGTATTAAAAATCAAAGTAATTAACCATGATAATTATCACAATTCCTTCTTTCGTTTCATCCAGATGGTACTATCAACTACAAAAGGATGATTTAGGTTTGTCTCTAAGATAAACTTTCTGACAAAAAGAGAATCATTTGGATGGTAGAACAAATTATTAGAGATGAGTAGAGAACTTCTTTTCCTTGATACAACTTAGATGGTAACTCCATGATATCAAAACAACCATTTAAATGAGGTAGGGGGATTCAACTCATCAAGCATTTCCTAGGGAGAATCTATCAGGTGTATAACACTGTGGCAGATACTTGATGGTCTGGGGAGAAAGGATGGGATTTTCGTCCCCATAAGCCTAAGTTCTTGAGGAAACAAAACTAGCACTTAAGAGAAAAATACAAAATCCCATGAAACATGCAACTGATTATATACAGGAAACTATAAATGCGTGGTGTAGATGATAAGCACTGGATTAGTTCAGTGAATATCAGTGTACTCTGGACTGATCTGGGGAAAGAGCAAGGATTGGGGCCTGGAGGATAGAATGTGGATTGTAAGAAAGAAGAGGAAAACAGTATCAGCAAACAAATAGCACACTGTTTTGTCTCCCAGGCTGCTGGACAAGTGGTTGAGCAGGTTAAATTTTTGTTTTGGGGTCACCAAGCCACTACCTCAGATTTTCAATAATAAAAACCAATAAAGAAAGGCAGGAAGAGCAAGGAGAATAAGACAGAGAAAAATAAAGGGGAAAATAAACCCCAATATAGAAAGAATGACTTCTACTGTTAGGCAAGCAAAAGATTTCCTCACAAAATACCCCAGAGTTTATTTAAAGTAGTAATCAGAAGAAAATAGAAAACATTTATGAACATTTATCATATATCAGACACTATCACAAGCCCTTCCATGTATAAATTCCTTTAATCTCCCAACAACACTATGAGATAGGAACTTTCACTGTATCATCAGGATTCCTAACAGCCCATGAAGCCCTCTAAATCAGTGATTAGCTTGATGTGATCTTTCTACAATGTATACATAGATTAAAACATCATATTATACCCTACAAATTATACATAATTATTTATCGATTTAAGAAAATATTTTTAAACTGAAAGAAGATGAATTTCATTTGATCATTTTTAATACCTTCTGTTTTTATGTGTCTAAGAAGTCTGCTTTAGGAAAATATCCTTTATTTTCCATGGACAGTATATATTCAACCAGTTGAAATGTGAATTTTAAGAATTACAATAAGCAAATTCTGTTGAATGTTCAATACAGAGTTTATATAGATTTGCCTTATACACGTATTTTTAAATTATTAGTATTGATGAGAAACAAAGAATGTAAACTTGTACCTCAGTCTAAGAGGATGAGAAGTCATTTAATGTGGAACAGAGAAAGCATGGAGGGCAATATCAGAAGAAAGCCACTTGAGAATTTAATAAGCAAACTTGGAGTAAATTGGTGACCTAAGGTAAAAAGACATCAACTGCAGTCTTGCATTTTTAGTATAGCTCAGTTCTATCAGTAACCAGTCAAGTGGAGTTAAGAATTACAGCTGCTACTGCCTAAATTTTCCAGCAGTTCAGAAAAATCAACAGATTTTTTTTTTCTTGCAACTAGATTTTTAGGGTAACTCTTTTGGATAATGTTTACAGTTTCAGACAACTCTGATTTTCTCCCAAATTTGCTGAGCAAAAACTAATGGCCTAAATGCAAATTCCACTCCTGTTTGGTAATTACAAGTTTCCCTCTAACATAAACAAGAATGCTTTTTGGAAAATTGATTTTCTCACATATACCAAGCAAGTAGTCTCTTCATTGAAAGAACAGGTATCAATCCACGGACTGGTTTTAAATGTTGGTTAAATGGTCAGTAGCTGTTAATCATAGTTGTAGAAATTTTTAAGGTAATATGTTCATTGGACTAGTTTCCAATCATATCTCACAATCAATACTTTTATAATTCTATAAATTCATAACTGATCACATGCATTTCACATATTCATCGCAGTATTGATGTTAACACTATTTGAAATTACTGAATAACGTCATAGATGCAATAAAGTGATTTGCCATGCCTATCTTATTAGAATGTTGTAACAACCCTGGAAATTATCCAGGCAAAACACCTGGTTTCTAATCCAGAGCTCTTTCCACTGCTAATAAACAAGGGTTATGAGAAGGCAAAGAGCACAGTGAACTCTCAGTTATTAACAGGAAAACTTTCTGGTTTTCTGGAAGCCAGTCTTATCCAGTTTGACTTTTGGAAGGCCAAGCAACCCCACAAAATGGATGTACAAATTCCCTTGTTATATTTATCTCATCCACTATAAAAACACGGGACAGACCATCCTCCTAGGAGTGTCTAGAATTTTATATTTAAAATAAGTAGTTACTGATTAAAATATTGATTCTGCTGAGCTCGCATTTACTTTAAGATATTATTGAGATTTTTTTGACCATTTCTATTTTTTAAGTGATTGAGTAATTTTCTAAATTTGCATATTAGGTAATTGAAGGTTGTGTCGTGGCTGGAATCTGGTTCATGACAAATTCCTCTTTCTAGTTGTCATTCTTTCCATTTAGTTACTCTCTGGGACTTCAGGAGAATGCACAATTTTCCAGTAAAGCCACGTGATAAGTATTTGTTTACACTTATGAAGTACTTCCTGTTTTGTTTTTTCCCACTCTTGTCTACATACAGATATAAGAAGTCTGAAAAACTTGCCTGCTTTTCCTTAGTCCCGCTGGCTTTTCTTCATTATTTTCACCAAATAAATGAGGTAGAAAACTCATCTTTTCTTTTCTTTTTTTTTTTTTTTTGAGACTGAGTCTTGCTCTGTTGCCCAGGCTGAGTGCAGTGGCGCGATCTCGGCCCACTGCAAGCTCCGCCTCCAGGGTTCATGCCATTCTCCTGCCTCAGCCTCCCGAGCAGCTGGGACTACAGACGCCTACCACCACGCCCGGCTAATTTTTTGTATTTTTAATAGAGACGGGGTTTCACCGTGTTAGCCAGGATGGTCTCGATTTCCTGACCTTGTGATCCACCCGCCTTGGTCTCCCAAAGTGCTGAGATTACAGGCGTGAGCCACCGCGTCCGGCCGAAAACTCATCTTTTCTTATAGCAACTACACTTAGTATCATTTCCCTTTGCTTTTCTCTATTACTCACACACACAAACCTATGCTCTATATTCCTTTTTCGCTTGTATCTTGTTTCATTCAGTGACCACCACCTGAATCAATAGGCACTGCTCAGGGAGATTAGAAGATTTGGAAGGTATAGAAGCCATGGGCATTTTAGTAATCAGAAGGAAATAACATTCTAGCCTGCTTGGCCGGAACTGCCATCTTCCAGTAATTCACCAAAATAACGAATGCAAAAGGAAAGAGCAGAGGCACCCTATATATGTTCTGTAGGCCTTTTAGAAAACATGGAGTTGTTCCTGTGGCCACAAACACATGAATCTATAAGAAAGGTGATATTGTAGACATCAAGGGAATAGGTTGAAAAAGGAGTGCCCACAAGTGTTACCATGGCAAAACCGGAAGAGTCCCAGTGTTCCTCCGCATGCCGTTGGCATTGTTGTAAACATACAAGTTAAGGGCAAGATTCCTGGCAAGAGAATTAATGTGTGTATTGAGCACATTAAGCATGCTAAGAGCCAGGATAGCTTCCTGAAACGTGTGAAGGAAAATGATGGGAAAAAGAAGGAAGCCAAAGAGAGAAGTACCTGGGTTCAGGTGAAGCGCCAGCCTGCTCCACCCAGAGAAGTGCATTTTGTGAGAACCAACTGGAAGGAGCTTGAGCTGCTGAGACCCCTTCCCTATGGATTCATGGCATAATAGGTGTAGAAAAGTAAAAGGCCTCTGAACTGTAAAAATGTTTCTCTTCTTTGAGTAGAAGTGGGTGTCCTCTCCCCTAAAGAAATATTTAAAGCAAATTTAAATTTTGCCCTTATTCATTGTGTAATGTCTTTACTATTAATATTAAATTTAATGTTTTTCTTGCTGAAAGATGTGGCTTATTGTGCAACAAATTACTCAATTGGTTAGAAAACGGCCAGATATTACTTATAAAATATTTTTACTGGTTTGAAAACTGTCCCTCTAAATCATCATGTAAGAAATAAAATAATTTTGAAAAAAAATTCTAAGTAATTCTGGGCAAAGTATATAATTTATGCAATTGCATATAAATCTATGCCAGCAACTGCATCAAACCACAACTTTTATTTTTAAAGTTTATATTACTCTAAAAAAATACAGAAGGTTTCCAAATGATCAGTTTTCTTCAAGTCTTACAGATAATTATTTTAAGAAAAGGCTTTTCATGAGTTTTAGCAGGATCTTTAAATAAAGTTACCACATTATAAGCACAAAAAAGTTTTTTTCTTTGTCTTTACATATAAAGACAAAAAGGGAAGCATGTTTTACATAGACAGCCATAAAAGACAAAAAAGCAAGAATGCCTCAGAGACCTAAGAGTAGAGCCAGAAGGCAAAAGCCCAGAATAAACTGTAGAACAGGGGTCCCCAATCCCAACCCTTGGCGGTTGATGGGTACCTGTCCATGGCCTGTTAGGAAATGGGCGACACAGGAGGTGAGCGGCGGGGACATTACCGCATGAGCTCTGCCTCCTGTCAGACCAGCAGCAGCATTAGATTCTCATAGGAGCGCAAATCCTATTGTGAACTGAGCATGCGAGAGATCCAGGCTATGGCTCCTTATGAGAATCTAATGTCTGATGACCTGATGTGGGACAATTTCATCCTGAAACCATCCACTCCCAACCCCCATGAAAAAACTGTCTTCCACAAAACTGGTCCCTGGTGCCAAAAAGTCTGGAGACCCACTGCTTTAGAAAGTGGAAGATGCTGAGGGCTTCTTTAGTTGTGTTCAGGGTAAGAGAATGGAGAAGACGTGAACACTGCTGGGGAGTATCACACTGAATAAAGAGAAACAGAACTACTCAGGTCCTAGTTTAATTTGTCTTCTTTGTTACTGTGGATGTCAGTCTGAAATTAAAGATAGCTTCCAGCATGTGTAAGATCCCCTACACTCTGCACTACACGTGTAATCACATCTGTAGTTTTATGTTTGGTTCTAGGTTTAATATTTTAACAGGACTCAAAGGATACTTAAGTATCTTGAAGCAAATAGCATTTGTTCATGAATTCATTTTTTTCAATAAACACTTCTTAAGCATCAACTATATGCCAGGCTCCATATTATATGCTAGAAAGTAGACTCTCAGTCATTTAACTCATGCATGCCTGTCAGGTTCCCAGCATTATAAACAAGCCAGTTAAGTTCCTTGCTATCGCAGAGCACACAGATACATTAAAAACTTAAAATACAGTATAAAAATCACTGTAGTAAAAGGTGTGTAAAAGCAAAGTAAAGCATTTATGAAGCACAGAGGACAGAATAACTCATTTGGCTGGAAGACGAAAGGGTCCAAACTGGGCCTTGATGAATGAGTGACTCAGTATGGAGGAAGGGATGAAGCACACTGCAGGTGGAGGGTTGCATCTGCAGTCACTGAGGTGCAAAAGGACAGAGAGGCTGCATCAGGAATAAGGAGCAATTTGATCATATGAGAAGCAGTCAGAGAAACCAGAATTTTTTAACCTGGAAAATACAAGACTTATGGCTGGTGTACTATTGTTATTCTCAAATATCTGAAAGTCTGTCAAGTGATAAAGAGAAATTCCATTCTGTAGGGCAAAATCAGAATCAATCCATGGAAGTGACAGAGGGGTATATCAGGGGTTGATGTCAGAAAAAAACTTGCAATGAGAGTTGTTTCAATGGAATGAGGTGTCTTTTATGGAAATAACATCAAACTACAGGAAATACTGAAGCAGAGCTCGAATATGTCAGAGGATTAAAGAGGCAACTTCTACGTTGGGTTGAGTGCTGACCTGTAAAGTCCAATTCTTTAGGTTATTCAAAAGCTAAGATCAGGTCATAGTATTCTAAGAGAACACACTAGATAGAATTTAAGAGAATCTGGGAGAGGGAAGAGACCTTGGAGATTATTGAATCCAATACTTTCACTTTGCAGATGAGAAATTGAAGCCCTGGAAAGATAAATGGCTAGTTTAAGGTCATCTAGCAAATCAGTGGCTCCATCTGAACTGGAATCCTCTCTTCAGCTTCCTGTGTGTTGATCATTGCACAATATCACACTGCTACTATGAAATGAATTCCAATATCTCAACCTAGAATTCTCAGTGAATGTACAGATATTATAACCAAAACACAATCTATAATCTTAAAGGAAAAATGGGGAACAAGATGCTCAACTGCTACAGAACTGGAGATGGGCATACATTTTTCCTGATTTTTCAAAAATACAGAATTTTATAGTGATTTTTATCTCAATACAGGAGAATATAAACCAGATTAATAAATAATGATAAACAGAAAGAAGAGGTGATCACAAGGAACCAGCACGGAAGAATAATTGCAAAGTAACCTTTATTTTTTAACGTGGTAAGGAAATTTGTTCATTCCATCCATTTCTTTATTCTATCAACAGAGATGTTTAAGTGCCTGTGATTGGTCCCACACTCACCTATGGACATATCAGGAAGATAAAAGACTAAGTCTCTGGCTTCAAGGAGTTCAGAATAATACGATGCAATATGCCCGATGACACTATAGGAGGTAAGAGAGGATGTTTGGGAGTGGGTGTGGGTAAGGAAATCATTCCCAGAAGAGGTGATATCTATGCTAGGATTAGGAATTTTGGAGGCTGAGTAAGAGCCAGGTGAGGACTTTCAAGGTGGAGAAAGTAGAATATAAAGGAATAGCTCATTTGAGAAATTGAAGGCAGTGTAGTGCTGTGCTGTGCTGTGCTGTGACTATAATGTATTTGTATTTCAGCAGTTGACAAAAATCTAAATGATACATAACTTTTGTGCATAATATACAAGGTACATGGATTACTGACTGGCTAAATGGGCCCTCCACATTGGAAAGAGGACCACATTGATGTAAATGGGAGGAAAGGTTTTAAGTGGCTTTGTCCAGTTTTATGTGGTTAAAAATAAAGCAAAAGTATGATTTGAGGGAGAAATAATGTAACGACTAATATAGAAAATTCACAGGTATGAAGCTTTAGTTAACAACATATTCTATGAGACAAAGTGAAGCAAATTAGGATTATTAAAGATATTGTAGAACAGATAAAAGCATCAAGGACAAGATTTCTTCTGACTTTAAGAATCTGTATTTGTGCAGATGATAGTTTTACAAAATGAGAGGCCCAAGTGACTAGAAAGAGCGCACAACTAGAAATATTTCTGAATTCAAGTCTAGGATGTGCCATTTATTATACATCCAATCTTAGGCAACCTCCTTGGGATCCATTTTCCCTGTCTCCAAAGAGAGAAGGTTAGCCTAGATACTCTTTATTAAATTTCCAGTTTTAAAAATAACTCCACAATACAATTAGCCTTTAAGAATTCAACACTTATTTCATATCCCAAGTTCCTAGACTATTGTAGGTCCTCAGCAAGTATTTCCTGAATGAATGAATCAATTACTTCTGTATAGGCCTCCACTGTATCCTATGAGTTACAAAGGACAACGGGAAAAACAGGGAAAATGGTCTGCCACACTGGGGCCGGGTAAAAATTCATATTTTAAGGTTGGTCCCTCTTCTTTCATTGGAGGATATATATAATCAGCAAAAGAGAAAGTATGCCTTCTTTATAGAACCTTTATTGACTTTTTGTATTAAAACAGTAATACATACTCATCATATTATATAGAGTGACGTAAACTAAAAACCCCTGGTAATTCTATTACCAGTAAGTTGACATTTTTCATATTTTGGTACACAGCCTTTCAGGCTTTTCTCTCTCTCTCTCTCTCTCTCTCTCTCTCTATATATATATATATATATATACATATTTTTTTTTTTTTTTTTTTTTTTTTGAGACGGAGTTTTGCTCTTGTTGCCCAGGCTGGAGTGCAATGGCATGATCTCGGCTCACCGCAACCTCCGCCTCCCAGGTTCAAGCGATTCTCCTGCCTCAGCCTCCCGAGTAGCTGGGATTACAGGCATGTGGCACCACGCCCGGCTAATTTTGTATTTTTAGCAGAGGCAGGGTTTCACCATGTTGGTCAAGCTGGTCTCAAACTCCCGACCTCAGGTGATCCGCCCACTTTGGCCTCCTAAAGTGCTGGGATTTACAGGCGTGAGCCACTGTGCCAGACCTATACATACACATTTTTAAAACAAGTATCCTATTGTGCCTATCTATATGCTGCTTTAAAGCCAGTCTTTTACTCCCTTTGAAAATACAGTGTGGATTTTTCAAGATGGCATAGTACTCTATTGCATAAATATGCTGTAATTTATTCAACAAATTTTCTATGCTTAAACATTTAGGTTATTTCATTTTTTCTATCAAATATGTTATGATAAAAATCTTTTGAAAGTTTTAAAATTTATTCTTTAAGATGATAGGCATAGAATTGTTGGGTGAGAAAATATGAAACTTACTAAGGCTTTTGGATGTATCTCCCTAAATGACTTCCAGAAAAGGCTATGCCAATGTATATTCCCTCCAGCAAAGTATAACAATTCCTGTCTCCTTGTGTCATCAAACATGGGCATTATCAATTTTTAAAATCTGTGCCAATTTGGAAGGCAAAAATACCATAGTTGTTTTAATATGCATTTCTTGTCTTGGCTTACATTTGTTTAATTCCTTTAATAGTAGGTCAACATTATAAACAGGGTTGTACTAGAATGTGTGCCATACAGTGAATTAGAAAAATACACAAAAGATTACTGGACATCTTATACAAGTGAAATCATTTATTTATCTATTCATTTTCATTTATTCCATTTATTGAGTGCTTTTCTATACTGTGGATAGTTCTGAGTACTGGTGAAATAAAAGCAAAAACACACAGTCCCTGCTCTCAAGGAGCTCACAGTTAAGAAAACAGATATGTAAGTATGCTACTGTAATATGGTGTTATCAGCACTCTAATAAAAGTATATACAAGGTTAGTAGTGTCTCCATGATGGGTAAGGAAAGGGTGTTTCTTTAAAAATAATCAGACCCAGAATAAGGGGGGAAACCCTCCATGTCTACAGGATGCAGTAGAGATCTTGGGCATTCCAGAGACAAAGAAAGGTGCTGCAACTTCTGGACATAAAGAAGTTCCAATAAATCCAATCTTACATCATAAAGACTAAGCTTACCATCACCAATTCATACATTGGAAGTTCAAGAACCAGATTTCCCTTATTCAGTTGGTGGTCTGTCATCTTTTTTCCAATTATTTTGTAACATTGGACTAGTCAACATACCATCTTATGACCAAATTTAAAACAAATTACTGGTTAAGGAAAAAAATGACTCATTAGTAAGTAAAGTGACAAGCAGAACAAATGAACCATCCATCCTTCAGGAAACTTTTTTAAAAAAAGATTTTCTGCATGGTTTATCTTGTGGTTTGCTTCTTCTGACAAGGCAGCAACCTTAGAAATGATATCAGCATGAAAAGTTCATGACTTATTCACCTGTGACATAACTTTGGAGTCTCATGGGAGTTCCAAAGTTTTTCTCCTGATCATGAGATTTGGTGGCTTCACATATTTACTTCCCCCCCCCCCCCGCCACCCCTGTGTTAACAGGTTTACTGGCAGATGCAGGAGGTGACATTCCAGTGGCTCCATTATTTTCATTAGTCAATATCATTTATTCTTTGTCATTAAACAAATATTTGGAACCCACTACATTCAAAGCATAGCATTAGGTTTTACTTAGCATTTTACAAACACTTTTAAGTACAATATCAATATGCACATCAATCTTACCTCTACCTCACAGAAGAGGAAAAAGGGAGCTCAAGTTATCTTCTCAAGGTCACATAGTCACTAAGAAGCAAAGGACTCTGAACACAGATCTCTGAACTCCAAACCCAGGGCTCTTTCCAGCCTTCCTTACTAGTCTCCCTGTCCTCAGATTTTCCTGCTGCCTAATTAATGTTCTTAAAACACCAAAGTAGCCCCAGCCTTCATCGCGTCTCATCTGCTCTGAAAATCCACTTTGACTATTTCAGTCCACAGAACTCACTCTCCTCTGAACTCCTATAGCTTATTGTCATATTATTCAACTGGCACTAACTCAGAAAATGCTTAGTGAGATCTGTCTTTAATTATGAAATAATTTTAGTGTCTATTTAGAAGACACTGTGCCCGGTTATGTGAGACTGCTCCAGTACTACTTAAACGTAAGTTTTATTCAGTTCTGCAAATGCTTTTGACAACCTACCATGAGTCAGGCACCATGCTGAGAGCTGAAGACATGGTTTCTGCCCTCAAGAATCTCAGTCTAATGGGAATGTGGATATGTAAACGTTTTACAGACATATGTGTACAATTGGTCATTCATTCATTAATTCAGTAAGCAAACTCAATTTGCAGGCCATGAGAGATAAGTAAAATACGGTCCATTTCTTTTAAGTAACTTGCAGTCTAGGATCAAAGAGAGACGTGAATTTTTTCATTCATTAAATACCTATTATGTGGTGGAAACAAGTGAGGAACACCTATGAATAACATGGTCTCTGTTCACAGAGCTGTTTCCTTTTTAAGGATCATAATCTTCAAAGGTAGAAACTAACAACTACACTGTTTTATCCTGTGTAATAAGAGGGCATAGCAAAGCCTGGGCCTATGGATATTTATTGGATATTGATTCATTCCTTCATTCTTGTATCTACTCCAAGTCTCTCTTGGTAGTTCTTACATATCATCCTTTTTTAGACCAGCTCTAGATAATGAATCTAAGATAGAATTATCATAAACCTTATAGTTCTAGTGTAAGTATTTCCAAAGATACTTGGAATATTTTTCATGTTATTCCAAACACCAACCACTTCTTGGCTTTTTATAGAGAGAATAAAATAGAAATTCCTAAATAGAAATTCAGTTTTCTCACTCTATTACTTTGTTCACATGTTTGATGTCAAGGTGCAAATGTGCAAGTAGTGGTTTTTAAAACCTGCTATTCAGAGAGCAAGGAGTTCCTTTGAGGTTTTTCAGAAATAATACTAGCAGCGAGGAAGACAGGGAGCTTCCCACTTAACCAGAGTATTTTAGCTTTCTGTTTTAAATACTGTGCTTCTAGGTAAAACTTATTTTGCAATAGGGTCCTGCTACTTAATTAAAAAAAAACTGATTTAAGAGACTCAATGTAATAAGACATCATAGAATTTTGGCTTTTTATTTTTTAATATTTCTCTTTTTTAAAAATAGAGTCCTTCCTATGAAGTCAAACCAATCCACTTTTAAAGACAGCCATAGTAGCTATGTTACTGAGCATTTATTACTTGGTGCCAACTACACTGTAAATTGATCATTTAGTCATATTTAGCATCCATTTAATGAACCATTTCACTATACTGCCTACAAAGAAAGCAAGTAATACAAATCAGTGTGCATCATTGACATTACAGATTAATTTCCTAAGAGATTTGCATTTCTAAATATGTCTATGTAGACAGAAGAAATAAGACCTGGTGTTCGATATATCAGTAGGATGACTGATCTATTAACACTAAACTATTGTACATTTCAAAATAGCTAAAGAGAATTCGAATGTTCCTAGTGTAAAGAAAACATAAATATTTAAGGTGATGGATATCCCAATTATCTTCATTTAATTATATGAATATATCATACTATCACATGTACCCCCCAAATAAATACATTATGTATCAATGAATTTTAATTATATGAATATATCATACTATCACATGTACCCCCAAATAAATACATCATGTATCAATGAATTTTAATTATATGAATATATCATATTATCACATGTACCCCCCAAATAAATACATCTATTATGTATCAATGAAAAAAATGTATCTGAGTGGTTCAATTTTTCCATTTGACTCTACTATATATAACACTTATTGAACACAAGTCCATCCTATGAGGTTCAATTGATGTTTTTCCAGATAGCAAAGAGTAACTAATATTTACTGCCTGTATTTCATTTCATCCTCAAAATAATGCTATTAGATAAGGACTATTATTATCCTCATGTTACAGACAAGGAAATGAAAGAACTAGCACACAGAAATAGGTACCCTAAAAGGACTAGGGGTGCAAGAGGACCATGTATGGGAAAACTTTCCAGGTGAAAAGCAGGAAAAAGAACCTCATTCCAGAAGGTTCCATTTCATGTCAAACTTCTCAAACTGACGTAAGCCAGATAGAGAGAACCTCCCAATTTCCACATCTATGTCTCCTGTTTACTCCAATGACTAAAAAAGGCTTGACCTCCCACTCTCTATGGCTGCCAATAACTGCTCTTGAGGAATGGGGTTAAAGTCTGCTTGAAGAAGTAGTGGGAGCAAAGATAGAAGGTTAGAATTGTCTCCATAATCTTTAGACGTGTTAATAGGAAAAGCATCTCTCTAAGGGTAAAAATGTGAAAATAAGTTTTTTCAAAGGCCCCAATTCCCTGACCGTTTTCTTATTTTTCTCTCTCTCATTATTCACATGTTCAAACACTGTAAACTGAATTGTGTGATGGGCACTTGGAGGCACCAAAAATAAGTGAGTCAGGATTTCTATTATTGAAGGGAAAAAGACATTTAAATAGATACAGCACAAGATATTAAGTGCTGTAAGATGCTACAACAAAGCTTATTTAGGCAGGGACTATATTTTATTCATCTTTGTAGCCACGCTCATATAATAATACCCAGCACATAGTTAATTATTTCCTGAAAAAATGTTTTCATGTCCAGGATTTCTTCTGACTGGCTTTAATATTCATATATGTGGTGGAAGACCCTCTATATCAAATCTGAGTATAATTAAGCTACACTTGAGTTTCCTTGGAAACTCCTTGGAATATAAATATACATTTATATTCAAATGTATATTAGCGTCAACTGCCAGTCCTAGATGTACTAAAATCAATTAGCCTTATTTTATGCTTTCCTAGCACTAGAAAAAAACATAGTAGATGGCAAACCTGTCACATAAGAAACAACTGCATTCATTAATTGAGATTGAATGTAGGTGCAGGTTGAATATCTCTTATCCAAAATGCTTGGGACCGGAAGTGTTTTAGATTTCTTTTTTTTGATCTTTGAATATTTGCATATTCATAATAAGATACCTTGGGGATGGGACCCAAGTCTAAACATGAAATTCATTTATGTTTCATATACACTTTTTACACATAGCCTGCAGCTAATTTTATTTTTCTCTTGGGAACAGAGTAAACTGTTGTACACCTGCATTTTGACTGTGACCCATCATATGAGGTCAGGTGTGGAATTTTCCACTTGTGGCATCATGTCAACACTCAAAAAGTTTTGGATTTTGAAGCATTTTGAATTTCAGATTTTCAAGTTAAGGATGTTCAACCTGCGCTGTTTGGCTATATTAATTCATGTAGAACTCTTCACAATCTAGAAGCAAGCCTGCCCTCTAGTGCTAAAACTGTCAAATTGAATTGGAATAGCAATTTCCAACAATGAGAAAAAGAAACTAGCACTCCAGATGTTGTTATTCTTAATATAAAAAACTGTATTACTTCAAAACAAAAACTTTATTCCAAGAATAAAGTGACACTCCCTCCTCAATTTAATTTGCCATTTGTTTACATATTTGGCAACTATTATCAATCTTGCTTTTTAAATCTTAGTGCTTCTACAACACTATAGAAAGTAATGGTTTGTATATGTGTGGTAGAAAATGTTAACATTTTATTTCTATTTGAAAAATCACAAAAGTTGGCCTTGAATTTCATCGATCATATGTCTTCAATTAAGTTCTATCCTCTGGCTACACTTACTCTCTAAGTGGTTTCATCCATGTCCTGACTTAAAATAAGATTACACACTGATGACTTCCAAATATATTTATCTCCAGCCCAGACCTCTACTTTTCCAGGTTCAAATATCCAACTGCCCACTCTACATTTTCCTTTGGACGTCTGACAGACAAGTCTACCATAACATATCCAAAAGTAAACTCTCAATCTACCCGCTTAAGCCTGCTCCTCTGAGTCTTCGCCATCTTATTAATGCCCACTTCATTCTTCAAGCCAAAAACCTTGATCATTCTTTTTTTCATACCTCACATCCATTCTATCAGCATATCCTTTTGGTGCTACCACCAAAATACATTCAGAATCTGACCACTTATTATTTCCATTACTCTTAATCTCAAATTGTACCATTTGTCACCTGGATTTACCATATTATCTTCCTACTACTACCTGCTTCCATCCTTGCTTTGATCTGAATCCTAATTGCTTGCTAGCTCACTCAGTAAAGTCCTACTCTTGAGAAAGGGCTATAATGCCCTACGTAATTACCTACAATCAGGCAGGATTATTACTCCCAATCTCTCTCAGTTCATTTTCTAATTCTCCCTAAAATGCTATTATTGTTCACTACAGTCACACTGATCTCTTTACTGTTTCTTTACACTCTGTACCAGCTCAGGGCCTTAGCATGTAATATTCCTTCTGCCTGGAATGCTCTCCTCCCAGATATCCACACTGCACAACCATTCACCTCCTCAGGCCTCTGCTCAATGTCACATATCAGTGTACATGCTACTTAATAGTAATCCTATCCTCACACACTCTCTGGGCCCCTTCCTCAACTTACTTTCCCCATATAACCTTGTCACCAAATGATAAACTATTTTACTAACCAATTAAAATAAAAATCCCATAAAGGTTCGAAATTACTGTCTTGCTTCGTGCCCTGCAATATATTCAGGCCTAGAATACTTCTTGGCATATAGTAGATGCTTGAGATTTGTTAAATTAATGATTTAGTCTAAGGAGAATATTAATAATTTTGTTTGATTATAAAAATGGCAGGATAACACAGGAAATCCTAGCTATTTCTTTTTATAAAAGACAGTAAATTTGTCAGAAAAAAATAAACTATCATAACTAACCACTTCTTGTTCAAGTAACAAGACGCATTCATTTAACACCTACTAAGTGCTGTGGATAGGGCCTATTTGAACTTCGTAACAATACTGGTAGGTATCATTATCGCCATTTTACAGAAGAAACTGAAAATGACATAGGTTAAGTGGCTTGTTTAAAAGTGACATTAACAGGAATGTCACAAAAAGAAAATCAAACTCAGGTTTCTCAGATAATACTTCTATAAACTCTCTCTCAATAGGCATAGTTTCAGGGAATAATGTAAATTTCAAATAGGTAAGATTTCTACATTTGTAGATAAAAGTAACTGTGTATGAACTTGCTCTAAGCCATTTTATTTGCATGACAGAATAGTAAAGTATATAAACTAACTTCACTTAAGTCAATACTCACAAGTTAATTCTGCTAAGTTTGATAAGTTAGTTTAAGTCTCAAATGACAAGTTGCTCAAATAAAGTTAGTTTTTCCTCTTTCATGGTTCAAAGGCAATTGTTAGCAACAGCAAATTTTTTTTTGACCTTCAAAATATGTGAGGAGCTTTTATCTGTGATCTATTTTCTATGTGAAAAAGTTAATTATTTCCCAGGAGTGGTGGCTCACACCTGTAATCCCAGCACTTTGGGAGTCTGAGGTGGGTGGGATCACTTGAGGGCAGGAGTTTGAGACCAGCCTGGCCAACATGGTGAAATCCCATCTTTACTAAAACAAACAAAAAAAAAAATACAAAACTTAGCTGGGCATGGTGGCAGGCATCTGTAATCCCAGCTACTTGGGAGGTTGACGCACGAGAATCTCTTGAACCCAGGAGGTCGAGGCTGCAGTGAGCTGAGACCGCACCACTGCACTCCATCCTGGGTGACAGAGTAAGACCCTGTCTCCAAAAAAAAAAAGGGAAAAGTTAATTATGGCTAATATTCTACACAAAACACACACAGCTCACAGAGTTTTGGGGAAATCTGGCTCTCTCTATATATTCACTTCAAGTATTTATTAGCTTTTTAAAATCCACAATTTTAACCTCATACTTAAAACCAAACCCATGAAGTATGTGGAAAAAATTCATTAATATCTTAAAGCTCAGAAAGCCAAAAACACCCCAGAAGGATAAAACTTCTAAAAAATGATATAATTTGGGGGAAAGCTAAGACATTTTTAATAAAACGTTTGCTATTAACTCCCATTTATGGACCATAGAGCCAAAAATAAATGCAACAAAGCTCCAATAAAATTGGCATTATAAGACAAGATTCAATACTTAGGTTAAAATCTAACCTTACTATATAGTGTTACTAGATGTATTTTAAGGAATATTTAACACATGGTAAATCAGAAACCATGTAAAAATGAGCCATATTATAAGAGGTTCTAATACATGACACAGCATACACAGCAAAATGTTTCATCGATCCTAAAAAGAAAATGGTCACACCAATAACAACTGGTCAGGAAAAGGAGCAAAGGAAACACTATCTGTACTAATAGAATGTAAAAGATTGTAAGGTGGACACAGCAAATGTATGATCGATCAGTTTTAAGACTGTTTTTAAAAACATAAATAAATTGTGCTTTAAAAGATCTAAAGATTTGTTCCAGTGAAGTACAAGTTCACTAGAAAAATCTCTACAATTAAATTAATGACAACTTATCCAAGGTTTGGGGCAGAAATTCATCTTTCCACAGTCTGTAAGTTTATCATAAAAATTAGACTGCTTTTTGGGCTTCCACCATACTAATCATAGGTCTATTAACAAAAAAGAACAAATCTTAAACAATAGGTTTACCTGGTTCTTACCAAATATTCCTGAAGTAATAAAACTATATCATTAAAAAAAGATATAATCCAGAATATTTAATAATTCAGACTAGCCTTTCCTATTGAGGAAGTTAATGAAATTGTTATTCCTCTTTCTCCTGAAAAAAAAATGATCCTTTCTTTGAAATGTTTCCTTGTGATGATTTCTAATGTCACTCAAAAAGTGGTATTTCCTCAAGAGGGAAGGATTCCTCCTTAGAGGTAAGAATTCTTCTTTAGGAGTAAGACTTTTGGGTTTTTTTGGGGGGGGTTTTAATTTTATTTTTTATTTTTGGCCTTTTGCTTTAACAAAGAAAGGCATTTAGTTTTCCTTTTTTTTTTTTATTAAAATGCCCTCAATTTATTTGATGCCTTAGACATTTAAAACATTAAGCTGTAAGAGCCTTGAAGGCCAGAACAAAGTTTTATCAGAGATGAATTATCACAATAGTTTTAAGTACACTTCTTTAAGAGGGCAGAAGAACAACACCTGGCATTCTTACCAATTACACCTCAAACTGAACATATATTTCAATAAATCCTTTCATAATTTCACATTAGCAAGTAGGCAGACAGGACATGTTTTGTTGAAGAAATACTTCAAAGTGAAATGTTTCATTTTATACGTATGTATCATGTATTCTGAATCTGTGCTATTCCACATACCTTGTATGCCTTGAAAACTCTGGAGTTATCTCAGAATTTACTCCCACCCCGACCCCGAGTGATGGCATTCAATATTAAGATATAATTTTTGGTTTGCTAGATGAAAAGGCATTTGTATTTAAGAGAAATACTCCTCAATCTAACATTCCCAAAGAAGGCTTCAAATTGCAGTTCAAGAAACACTAATCTAGAGTGCTTCTGAGTAAAAACCAATAAAATCTATACATTATACACAAAAATGCTACTACTGTCAAAAATGTATTATATCAATAATTTTATCAGCAGCATTTAAGAAATAAGAAATCATTAGACAATAGAAGACAAACATGGTAATGCAGTCAGGCCAGCACACAATACACCGTTTTCATCACACACTGTCACCTGAATCCCTGGCAATTTCCTAGAGGTATTAACATCATACCTTATTAAGAATTATTGGCCCCGAGGAGTGGGGGGGTGGGGGGGTTGCAATCTGTCCAATCAACATCTGGCTCTACTTTCTCCCAGTAGTATTACATTTGTATAATATTCTTATAGAAACAACTCAACTCCATGTTATAAAGCACCATACGGTATTTCATCCTGTACAAAGGGAAGTAGTTCTGAAAATTTTACAACAGGGTTCGTGGGAAGGCACTTAAAGCTAACTAGTCAAAAAAGGAACCACAACAGTTAGACTTTTTTATACTGCAGGGTCCTTAATATTGTATTGTTTATATCACTTAACATTTTTGATCATAAATTTCCCAGTAAATTAAATGCTATTCAAAATTAACAAAGGAAAGACAGGAAGGGACACAGCCCACACCCTGACTGATGAATTAGGCAGAGTAAATTTGCCTTCAAAGTAGGCAAATGTTATAACTTTAAGAAGGTAAGAGAAATAGATGGAGCAATAGAGTAAAGCAAGCGTGGCCTCAGTGGTACTGGACTCCAAAGTATGGCTAGGGTAGGATAGGACAGTTGACTTTAAGGGAAAAAATAAAGTAAATTTCATTTTCAGACTCAAAAAGTCTTAAAGGTATCTTTGGATAAGTATGCAAAGTAAATACTGTTGACCCTTGAACAGCATGAGTTTGAACTGTGTGGGTCTGCTTATACGCAGATTTTTTTAAACCAAACATGGATTGAAAATACAGTATTCCCGGGATGCGACACCTACATACACGGGGAGGGCTGACTTTTTATACAGGCAGGTTCCACAGGGATGACTGTAGGACTTAAGTATGCACAGATTTGGGTATACACAAGGGTCCTGGTATCAATCTCCTGCGTATACCAAGGATGCCTGTGCTTTCATAAATATACCTTTTAAAAAACATGTCATCTATAAGCTTTAAGTGTTCCCTATTTTACTCAAATACTGAAGATGAAAAAGATATTACCATTAGTTCAGGTTACAAATGGACAATTTATAAGATTTTGCTTATATGTTTTGGAATTTAACAAAAGTGGATATGTTCTTCAGTTCAGATGTGCCTTGAAGAGTCAACTAAATTATAAATTTAAAGGTCTACAAATCTAAATGCTTTCCTTATAATAAATTTGATATTAAAACATCATTCATAATATTAAATCCTAACACCACTGGTATGCTCAGTTCATAACTCAGTGATTCTAATACTTAAGAGGAGCATTCTGTATTATCCTTTTCTATAAGACATTTAGGAAAACTGTCTCCCACTATTATGGGTGTTTCAGAAAACTGTACAAAGTAATCTTATTAAGAAGGCAAGTAAAACAGTGGCAATCATTTTTTTCCCAGCTGATTAACTAAAAAGCAAACAATAAAACACTTTAAAATGTCATTCTCTTAGGTAATCAATATGGAGAAATCATTCTTTAAACAAATTCACCACTGAAAAATCAACCTTTACCTTAAATCCTAATAGAAACACTCCCTTATTATGGAAAAATAACCTCTTTACTTCTCTCTACTCAAACAATGACACTAGAAATGTTTCTGAAGTTGTGACTGGGCTATGAATATGAACAAAGTTTTCATATCACTGGGATACTGGATGGTTTGAAAAGGAATGTACAAACAGGCCTGCTGCTAGTACAAAAGTGCCTTTTACATGAATTAGGAAAGCCTTCCCTTTCCTCAAGACACTTGATTACCAACAGGCAGAAAATTGTGATAATTAGCAAGCTGCAATACTACCAACGTAAATGGCTCTATTGAGTTGTGCACAATTAATTATACCCAGAGTTCTCTCATGATTCCTTATTCTATTGTCTTCTTTTCCTATGTGTATCTTAATTAAATCCATATCACAGCTAACGTTCTCTTAAGGCAAAAAAAAAAAAAAAAAGTGCTTTAAACAAAATTCCCTATATAATGACAGTTAAAAATATAAATATGCTATTATCAACAATAATAATGATGATACAACTTAATAATACAACTTTTTTAGAAAACAAAACAACTGGACATAATCTTTCCAATTCTAAGCTCTCTGAGATAAGACATCTGCATAAGACCTTGGCAGCTTTTATAGAAACCCAGAGCTAAAAGTAGGAGCATTTTTCCAATACCTAGAAATGTTTATTAGCTGCATCAGCAAATCATTATCCCAGAAGTCAAGGCCAACAGTCTTCCAAATTGTGCAGAGATGACTATAATGAGCCATACCATCAGCAGACTATGTTGCCAAATATTAAGACTGTTTAAAATCTTGAAAATTCTGTAAATTCACGGTGAATTGGAACCTCAAAAATCAAAAAATTCAAATTTACAAAAATAAATACCACTCTGACACTCAAGGGACATCTTCACTTTAAGGCCTTTGTCACAAATCTGAATCTTTATTGTTCTGAAATAAATGTTATAAACATAACTCAAAACAAAAACTTCAATATTCAGTCTAAGAAGAGGTGTGGCTCAATGCCCATCACATGTAACAAGAAAAACCTCCTTTAAAAAAAGGAAAAAAAAGTACTATGAGAAGTCTTTCATATGAATGAAAATGCACCCGTTGGATTTTTTTCCCCCTCATCACATTAGCTTGTATACACGTGGGAATTGAAAGGTTTGCATTTTCTTCACATAGTTCTTGCTATGATGTCTGACGGACTTTTTGCCACTCAACAAATTCATCAAGAAGAACAGGCCCTAGAAAAAAAGAAACCATTTTTGTCAGAATTCAGTGAACTCATCTCTCCAATTATAAAACAAACTCCCCACGAGCTCTGCAATGACAGAGGAATGACCCTTCCTTTCTTTGGGTGTTCTGCTTCTAGACACCTTATTCCATTTAATGGTGCTTTCTTATTAGCCTTTTCTTTTTTGCCCTTAAAGACACAAGGAACAATGGTATCTATAGCAACTTCCTTCTCAAGGTGTTTCATGAACCCTCCAGTAACTGAGTCAATACAAATCTCTCCCTTTTTCTAAGTGTCCATAGCATTCTGGCATTTAATTATGAAACAATCTGAAAAGTGTTGAAGGTAATATTTCTATGTTGCCTCCCCAAGAAGTGTACAAGCTTGTTGAGAGGGATCAGCCATAATAGAGACTTACTTTATTCCAATAACAGGATGTAGTACAAAGCTGAACACAAAGCAAGTGCCTAATGAATATCTAATTAATGAGCTAAGTACTATTCTAAAACATATATTTTTATAACGTAGGGGAGGTCCAAACTCATTTGCTGACAGAGCCAAGTAGGCAGTTTAAATGAGCTCAGTGTTTATTTTGTTTAAATGTAGGAAAAAAATCACCGCCACAAAGAAATATGCTTGCTTTATTCTTCTTAAAACACATAATCCTCTGGTGGTCTTTTTCCATTGCTTTTGACAGACATGTTTCTCTATCGTAAGAAAAGCAGCAGAGCACATATGATAATAAATGGCAACTGAAAAACAGCCTAGGTGTTGGCATACCATGAACTGTCAAACTGAAAAGCAAGTCCAACACAGTTAACACTTGACTCCAGCCTCTGACTCCTATAAAGGAGTACTATAAAGGTACAGTTTTGTCAGACTTTTTAAATTTTTCCAACAAATCTAAATGTTGTATTTTAATACAAAATCTCCTAGTTTTAAATGCTGATACAAAATACATAAATATACACATCTACGGGCCATATACAGCCTTTGGGCTGCCAGGTTACTGCTGCTAGGTATTATTTCTTTAAAATAATACTAAATTTTATACCATCTTGTAGAGAGAGGACAAAATATATGTGGGAAGAAATAAAGTTATCCCTTCTTCTGTTATTTTATTTTTTCAGTGTCACAGAAAAAAGTGTATAATTTCAGTTTAAGTTTATAGGAATGTACCTTTCCTTGTAACCCTTCTGAACACTGAAAACACATGCAACCAACCAAAATGGTGGTTGGAACTGAAAAAAATTTATAGTTCTACAGAATTAACTTGGTTTATCTAATTAATTTATCATTATTTCAAAATCCTGTTTTATGGCATTCTAGCCTTTCCATGGAGGAGTATGGACAGATATTTTAACTTGACGGATTGAAAAATTATAACTATTTCACTATCAGTTAGCTCACAATCAATTTATAGTTTTCAGAGAGAAGTTATACTGACATTATTTGCCATATTGTTAATGGGTAGCATAATATTACAATAATGTTAAAGCTTTTTCTATTGTGGCTGATTGTTTTGCTGTTATATTTTTAAAATCATGACTGTACTTTTCTTCCATAGGCAAATGCCAGGAAAGACAGAAACAAAGCTGAATTTTAGCTTCTGGATGCAAAAATTATAATTTAAATTTAGCTAAAATGTTTGGTTGCCGAGGAACTGAAAACATTTCATTTACCAGCATAGATTTTATATAATACTGCTGAATCTAAGCTCTCTCTCTACTTCTCCCACAATCCCTCACACAATTAAATAAGTTACTATTACAAAGTTTAAAACCTCTATGCTAATACTACACAAATGCATACTCTCATTTAATATTTTTGGAAATTTTGTTTTCAAAGGAACATGTTATGTTATACTTACAAGCACCATCTTCATCATAGTTACTAAGATCAGCATGGACTGTTCTGCTGAATTCTAATACATTGTACCATTGATCTTTGTTCATAACACGATACTTTGATTGCTGCAAAAATGATTTAAATATTTGTATTTAAATATTTAAACAAACATCATTTACTCAATTTAGTAAACTAAGTTTTAACTGTTTTTGTGATTTGGTTTTTTCTAAAACATTTACTATTTTTTTAATTATTTGTGTTTCTAAGAGATTCCTCATGGGCATTTACATATTAACATAATCTATTTTTTACTTTTTTTTTCATTTTTGAGGAATAATAAGAGCACTGAGTACTAACAGTAAGGATAAAACTAACTTTTTCATATGTATATACTTGTGTTACCACCAATGAGATCAAGATATATAACATTTCCTACATCCAGTATGTTCTATTGTGCTGCTTCCTAGTAAATCATTTCTTTGCTCAAGATTTACTGTTTAGCCACATTTTGAGTTTGGCATCTTTGGAAACAAGTGAAAGAGTATAGGCTTCGATTTAAATCCCACCCTTGCCACTTAATTGAGTGATTTTGGGAAAGTTACTTAAGAATAGAAACCACCTCCTCATTTGTTAAATGGGGATAGAATTTAATTCAAAATGGTATTATAAAGATTTTTAAAAATATATGCCAAACAACCTGCACATAACAAGTGTCTGAAAATATTTAGTTCTTCTCAGCTCCCCATAGAGCTGAATATTTTTACATTCAGTTAAATTTATTTTTGCCCAAAACTACTAATAGGAAGAAAATAGATACCATCCATCAAAAATAATTTATAGGACTTACAGATTGAATCATGCGTAAAACTCATTCATGTAAGACCTTTTCATATCATTGTCTCTTTTTTTTTTTTTCTGAGACAGAGTCTCGTTCTGTCACCCAGGCTGGAGTGTAGTGGTGCAATCTCAGCTTACTGCAACCTCCACCTCCCTGGTTCAAGCAATTCTCGTGCCTCAGCCTCCCGAGTAGCTGGGACTACAGGCACAAACCACCACACCCAGCTAATTTTTTGTGTGTATTTTTAGTAGAGACGGGGATTCACCATGTTGGCCAGGCTGGTCTCGAACTCCTGGCCTCAAGTGATCTGCCTGCCTTGGCCTCCCAACGTGCTGGGATTACAGGCGTGTGCCACCACGCCCAGCTGATATCACTGTCTTGTATCACAACTTTTACTACTCTGGGAAAAGGGAAGCAGCTATAAGCAATGTGCTTTATGAGAAATTATTTCCAAAGGAAAAAGCATCTGTATTCAAGATATGGTGAGAACTATACCAATAACCCTAGAATTACAAAGGCACAAAAACAGATTTAAAAAAAAAAAACTAGACAAAGCAATGGAAAAAAAGAATAGCATCTTCTTAGAATCACTGCCTATAGTAGTTGCTATGATAAACCTTCTAAAAGAACACGTCATCATTTCAGCTTACATTTTTTTAGTAACCAGCATATTTAAGTATACTATTATAGCCATTCTCATATTTGTGGCCATAAAATATTAATAGCTTTATTCTGTTTCTTTAGATTGAGCCTAAGTAGAAAAGGAAAGTTTTATTACTAAATTGGTTCTCTTATGTACATTTCAGCTTAAGACCCTGTGTAACAAAAGAAGAAAATCAGATTTAGAAGCTTAAAGGTTTGTGTACTAGCATTAACTCTCTTATGAAAACCCCGAGAAACTAATTCTGCAAGACAAATGTCTGTGATACAATGTATTTCTTGGAGGTTTCTTTTATTTGGGGGACTGGGGGGGTAGGATTGAAAATATCTTAGGTACAAAATATATTAATAAACATGAACTTCTATCTAAAAATAGCAACTGATATGTACATATTTTAGAATTTTTTCTCTAAAGTTTTTTTAAAGCATACTATTAAAAATCTACTTGTTCCTCAAAAGTATAACTTTCAGATTAAGTTTTAAAATAATATTTTCAAAATTCGAAAAAACATACGTACCTCCAGGTACTGGTAAAATACTGAAAACAGTGGCCATGTCCTCCCAAGCAGAAGAGCTAACATAGATTTAGCAGTATCAATATCAAGGCTTCTCTGATCTTTATCCTAAAATATAAGTGAAAAAGTTTTCCTAAGTGTGGTCTCAAGATGAAAAGCTATTAAAACAACAAAACAAGAAAATTGCACCTACCCTTGCAAAATCAAAGGCATATCTGTAGATATTCTTAAATGACGAAATATCATTCAACTGTGAGCGCAAAAAGTCAAATTTGTTTTGTAACTTTTCTGTGCAGTCACACCTTAAATAAAAGAAATATCAAACAAATTACATAATCAAGAAAATCAAATAAAAGTATCACTGGGGGTTAGACGTAATGCATTAAGAAAAAAGTGAGCGCATTTATGAAGTTAATTTAGTTTTAAAATTCTGAGTCACAAATTTAGAGTAATAAATTTCTTGCCCTGCATCTACCAATGCAATAAAAAAAGAAAAAAGGGGAAAAAAGAAAACCTGGGAATCAAAGAAAGTTCACTCCAATTACTTTGCTTAAAAACAAACAAACAGCTCATTCAAAAATTCCAAATAAAATCGAAGTTAAAAAGAGATGTATTAAAACATGTTTTATCACATATACAGCTAAAAATGGCAGAGCAAATGAAACTAATCACGCCTTTGTCACACATTTCTTTAGAAAGTTCGTAGGTAACAGTTTGGTGAAAGACATTAGTCATGAGTAGTTTTAAAAGTTTAGGATATAACACAGTGCAAATTAATACATTAAGTGGTCCAGTCATAAATCAAGATCCCTATATTTTTGTGAACAAAAAGTCAAAGTCAATCAGTAGAAGCACCTAACTTCAAATAAGTTATATATGCAAAAGCATGCAAACAACAAGTCATACGTGTTATTTTTAAAGACAAGACATTAAATATAAGCAGCTAAATATATGGAAGGCTCAAAAATCTTAACTGACTTTGTCTCAGTGGGTTGATAAATTCCACTGTTTAGCAAGAAGCAAGGCAGTCAAGGCCTTTCACAATTTGGCACAAATCTCTAGTTTCATCTCCTGCCACTTCCTGATAACCTTACCATGCTCTAATTATATCACTTACCATTCCCAAATGCCACTGCCATACTTCAGCACCCATTATTTCCACTTGAAATCTCAAACATGCTGATAAAAATATTATTCATCAAGACCTAACTCACATTTTGCCACCTCTGAGAGACCATCTGACTCCCTTTAATCAAATTAATTGTGCCATCTACTGTGGTCCACAGTATTCCACTCAAAACTGAATTTTAGTTATTCAACATGCTCTCCAGCCACCTGGCATTCTCAGATTTAACTAAGACTATACTAAATCAATAATGCAAAGGCCTATAATGTGTAGTAACATAATTTCATTAATGTGTAAATATTTTGGACAATTTTCTAATATTAATTAAACCTTGCATTTCTAGAATAAGTCAAATTTGGTCATGTTATCTGTTTTATACATTGCTGGATTTTGGGGTTGTTTTGCTAGGTTCCTAAGTGAGACTAGCTTTTAAGTTTCATTCTTACTCTCCTTGCTAGTTTTTTTAACAAGATTGTAGTACATAAGACTCAGAAAATGAAAAGAGAATTGCTACTTTTCCCCCCCGTTTTTTGAAAAAGCTTATGTAACCCTGGAATTAGCATCTGTCCAAACTCAGGTGAGTATTGAGGGAAGGAAAACTTTTAACTAATAAACCAACATTTTTAATGGCCATAGGGCCATTCAGATTTTCTATTTCTTTTTGAATGTTTTGGTCCCATACTTTTCTCATAACTGATTATTTTACATATAAGTTTATTTAAATATGATTAAAATTTATAACATTTTCTAATTTGCATTAGCATTATCTTCATCCCTTTTTTGTTGTTTTTCTTGACCAATCTTACCAGAATTTAATTAATTTAATATAGTATTTAAGGCTATAATTTCCCTCTTAATACAACTTTAGCTGCAACCACAAGTTTTGATAAGTATTGTTTGTAGAACTATCATTCGATCCAGCAATCCCATTATTGGATATATACCCAGAGGAATATAAATCATCCTACCATAAAGATATGCAGGTGAATGTTCATTGCAGCACTATTCACAATAGCAAAGACATGGAATCAACCTAAATGCCCACCAGTGATGGACTGGACAAAGAAAATACATATACACCATGGTATATGTACACTATGGAATACTAAGCAGCCATAAAAAAAGAACACGATCATACATTTTGCGGGAACATGGATGGTGCTAGAGGTCATTATCCTTAGCAAGCTAATGCTGGAAAACCAAATATCACATGTACTCACTTATACGTGGGAGCTAAATGATGTGAACTTATGAACACAAAGAAGGAAACAACAGACACTGGGGTCTACTTGAAGGTGGAGGGTGGGAGAAGAGAGAGGGGCATAAAAGATAACTGTTGAGTACTAGGCTTAATACCTGGGTAATGAAATAATCTGCACAATCAACCCCTCTGACACTACTTTACCTATGTAACAAAGCTTCACATGTACCCCCAAACCTAAAAATTAAAAAAAAAAAAAGATCTTACAGTTCAAAAATACATGCATATTTTTGCTTTCAGTATTTACTTGTATATGACACCTTGACAAGAACTGTTTTGAAGGAGTGACAGGGATAGAAATTTTACTGGCACAGGTTTAAGAGAGAATGAAAAGAGTGGAACTGGAGAAAATAAGTATAGACGAATGCTTTCAAAGAGTTTGATTCTAAAGTGGTGCAGATAAAAGAGGCACTAACTTGAGTGGGATGCAGCCAATGAACTTTTCACACTCACTCTCTCCTAGGTACAACTAAAATCCCTGAACATTATATAGAAAATAAACACAAGACCCTGAAAGGTGGAAACCTGAGGAACTACATGGTGGTGAGTTATCTGGGTTTCTTTTTGCCTAATATATTCCAAACTTGGAGCTGAAGAAGCTAGTAACCAGCAACACCAATGGGGGCAGACAAAAAGCCCCAATAAAACCCTGCCTTTTCTCTAGCCAAAAGACAAAGAAAGGAGGAGCCTCACAAAACAGAAAACTCTTAGAAAACAAACACTCTACTCCAGTTAAAAACCACTGAAAAAACTATGGCCCAACTCCCACCAATGCCAGCAAAGACTGAATGGGGACCTAAAATGTCCACCCTTACCAGGATATAATAAAGCCTCTCTCTCAACTCCTACAATGCTGGTGGAAATCGAAACCACACAGGTAACATGAACTTCTGCTCTTGCCAGGTAGTAACAAGCAGCCAATCCTCTTCTGCCCTAGGTTGATATAGAGGAGGCCTAGTGAAGGGTCAGGGCTTTCACCATCACCCAGTGGTAACAAGGCACTCCTATCCCTTTCAGACAAGAAAGCATCAGTAAAAGCGTAGTGGGAACCCAGAACTCTCATCCCTGCCCAGCAGTCACAAGGGATATCCTTCCTTAGATGTTAATGAATGCAGAGTAGAAAATTCAATTTCTACCTGTACCTGGCAGTAATAAGGTGGCAGCCCTGATTTCTCTTGCCAGAATAGCATTAGAGTAAGCTAGCTAAAACTGAAGCTTTAAATACGATCCAGAGATCCAGAGTTTCATAATATACTACCCAAAATATCCAGGTTTCAATTTAAAAAATCACTTGTCAAACCAAGATCTCAAATGGAATGCAAAAACACAATCAATACTTGCAACCACCAAAATGACAGAGATGTTCAGAATTATCTGACACATTTTAAATTAGCTATCACACAAATGCTTCAACAAGTAATTAAAAACGTAATAGAAAAATGAAAAAATATAAAGTCTCAGCAAAAAAAAAAAAGTCCAAGGACAAAGAAATATAAGATACAAAAAAAGAACCAAATGGAAATTTTTGAACTGTAAAATACAAGGTAGCCTTAAGCCCTAATATATCCATAATTACATGACAGTGAGTAGTCTAAATACACCAATAAGACAGAGTGGATTAAAAAAAGCATGACCCAAACATATGCTGTCTAGAAGAAACTTTAACTTCAAATAGTATAGGCAGGTTGAAAGTGAAACAATGGAAAATAATATCTCACAGAAATATTAAAAGAAAGCAGGAAGTGGCTTTCTACATTAGATGATATTAAAATAGAGCAACTTCAGAGCAAAGAAAATGATCAGAACAGAGAGGATAATCATATTATAATAAAAGGGTCAATCCATCAGAAAGACATAGCAATCCTAAACAATTCTAAGCAATCCTATACACGTTAAACAATAGAGCTGCAAAATGTGTGAAGTAAAAACTAAATGTGTGAAGTAGCACTGAAAAGAGAAATAAATTCATAATTATAGTTGGATATTTCACCACCCCTTTTCCAGCAATTGATAGAAACACTAGATAGAATTCAACGAACACAGAGAATTTAACATCATCAACCAACAGGATCTAGCTGAACTTAGTAGACTACTCCATTCGAAGACAACAGAATACACATTCTTTTCAAGTGCCCACAAAACATAAAACAAGACAGACCAATCCGGAGACATAAACCCCTTAACAGAGTAAAAATAACTGAAATAAAAAAGAATGTGTTCTCTGACAACAATGGAATCAAACTAGAAATCAATAACAGAAAGTTAATGGCAAAATCTCCAAACACTTGGAAACTAAACAGCAAACACCTAAATAATCTATGGGAGAGTTAAGTCTCAAGGGAAAACAGAAAATACATTAAACTAAATGAAAATACAACATATCAAAATGTTGACATACAAATAAAGCAGTACTGAGAAGGAAATTTATAGTGCTAAATACACACATTAGAAAAAAGAAAAAGCCTTAATCAACAATCTAAGCTTGTACCTCTAGAACCCAGAAAAAGAAAGGCAAAATAAACAAACCAAACAGGACAAAGTAAATAAGAGCAGAAACTGCTGAAATTGAAAACAGAAAAATCAATGCAACAAAGCACATTGAAAAGATCAATAAAATTGACAATTCTCTAACAAGACTGACAAAAAAGAGAGAAGACAAAAATTACCCATATCAGGAATGAAATGGGGTATTATTACAGACCCACAGCTATCAAAAGCATAGTAAGGGATACACAATGAACATATACAATGTATGATAGTAAGGGATCACAATGAACAACTCTCTACACACACAAATTTTTCTACACATATAAAGATTTTTATACAGGTATAATCTATATATAATTTTATATACTCTATATCTATATGATCTATAATCTATATATAGATATTTTATATCTATTGATTTATATAGATATAATCTATATCTATGTAAATATTTTATATAGAGATTTTACACAGATTTTTACATAGATATAAAAATTCTACATATGTAACAATTTTTCTACATCAAAACTTGGATGAAATGGACCAATAAGTTCCTTGAAAAACACAAACTACCACAACACATACAATATACAGTAGTCTGAGTAGACCTGTTATTATTAACGAAATTGAACTCAAAATTTTTAAACTTTCAAAAAAGAAACTCCAGGAACAGATGGTTTCACTACAGAATTATACCAAACCTTTAAAGACTTATTCCACATCTCTCTCAAAACATAAAAGATTAAGAAAATTTAAAATATTTAAAAAAAGAAAAATTTATTTAATAAAGCCAGTATTACTTGATACCAAAACCAGGCAAATACAAAAAAAAGCCACATAATTTTATCATTTAATACAGAAAAAGCACTTTAAAAATTTAACATCCATTCATGATAAAACTCAGAAAAAAAAAAATAGAGGGGAGTGTCCTCAACTTCGTAGAGCATAAATAAGTAACTTACAGGTAACATAACAGTGAAAGCCAACGTTTTCTCTCTAAGATGGGGAACAAGGAAAAGATGCCTACTCTTTCCACTCTTATCGACATAGTGGTAGAAGTTCTAGCTCATGTAATAAGTCAAAAAAAAGAAATAGGAGAGGATGTGGAGAAATAGGAATGATTTTACACTGTTGGTGGGACTGTAAACTAGTTCAACCATTGTGGAAGACAGTGTGGTGATTCCTCAAGGATCTAGAACTAGATCTAGATCTAGATCTAGATCTAGAACTAGAACTAGAAATACCATTTGACCCAGCCATCCCATTACTGGGCATATACCCAAAGGATTATAAATCATGCTGCTATAAAGACATATGCACACGTATGTTTACTGTGGCACTATTCACAATAGTAAAGACTTGGAACCATCCCAAATGTCCATCAATGATAGACTGGATTAAGAAAATGTGGCACATACACACCATGGAATACTATCCAGCCATAAAAAAGGATGAGTTCATGTCCTTTGTAGGGACAGGGATGAAGCTAGAAACCATCATTCTGAGCAAACTATCACAGGACAGAAAACCAAACACTGCATGTTCTCACTCATAGGTGGGAACTGAACAATGAGAACACTTGGACACAGGGTGGGGAACATCACACACCGGGGCCTGTCGGGGGGTGGGGGGAGGGGGGAGGGATAGCATTAGGAGATATACCTAACATAAACGACGAGCTAACGGGTGCAGCACCAACATGGCACATGTATACATATGTAACAAACCTGCACGTTGTGCACATGTACCCTAGAACTTGAAGTATAATAATAAAAGAAATAAAAGATATATAGATCAGAAAAGAGAAATAAACTGTCCCTATTTCTAGATGACATGACTATGTAGAAAATCCAAGGTCTATACAGAAAACATCTTAGAACGAACAGGTGAGTTCAGCAAGGTCACAGGATACAAGATAAACATATAAAAATCAATTGTATTTCTATATATTAGTAATGAACATGTGGACACTAAAATGTAAAATACCATTTACAACAGGTTGAAGTAAAAATAAAATACTTAGGTGTAATTCTAACAAAAGATGTACAGGACGTATATGCCGAAAACTACACAAAACTGATGAAAAAAATCAAATACCTAAAAAAATGAAGAGACATTACTATCTTCCAGTATTCAAAGCAAGACTGACAAAAAAAGAGAGAAGACAAAAATTACCAATATCAGGAATATTAAGAGTATTCAAAGACTCAAAACAGTAAAAATGTCAATTCTCCCCAAATTTATATGCTATTTAACCAAAATCTCAGCAAGATATTTTTGTAAAGAAAAGACTATTCTAAAATTTATATGGAAAAGCAAATACACTAGAATACCTAAAACAATTTTGAAACAGGATGCATAAGTCTACCTGATTTCAAGTCTTAGTATTTAGCCACAGTAATCCAGACTGTGTGGTACTGGCAGAAGGTTAAGACACATCAGTGGAACAGAGAACCCAGAAATAAATGTACACAAATATGTCCAACATTTACATAGCTTTTACAGAAATTAATTCAAAATGCACCACTGACTTACATGTAAAATTTAATAATGGAAGGCTTCTAGAAAAATACATGAGAAAATTCTCATGATATAAGGCTAGGCAAATAATTCTTAGACTTGACATCAAAAGTACAATCAAAAGTACATCAAAACTGAGGCGGGGGCTCATGTCTGTAATCCCAACATTTTTGGAGGCTCAGGCGGGCAGATCACTTGAGGTCAGGATTTTGAGACCAGCCTGGCCAACATGGTGAAATCCTGTCACTACTAAAAAATAGAAAAATTAGCCAGGTATGGTGGCACATGCATGTGTGGCTACTCGGGGGGCTGATGTGGGAGGATCGCTTGAACCCAGGAGGTGAAGGTTGAAGTCAGCCAAGATCGCAGCACAGGTTGCAGTGCAAACTGTGAGTGAGACAACTCACTGGAGTGCAACAGAGTGAGATTCTCAAAAAAAAGTACACTCCATAAAAGGAAAAACTAATAAACTGGACATCATCAAAAACTTTTGCTCTGCAAAAGACCTTGTTACAGGAATGAAAGAAGTTATAGAATGTAAGAAAATGTTTGCAAAACACACATTCAACAAAAGACTAGTATCAGCAAACTCTGAAAATTCAACAGTAAAAAAATTTATCTTCCATGTTCGTTAGCATCTCTTTCACATTCCCCTTCTGCCTCTCTGCACTAATCTCCTTAGATATCGTAGATCACTGATCCTTACAAGTCAACTACATTATCTTCTTTCTATCTCATCTGCTGAGTGTTTGTTTGTTTGTTTGTTTTGAGATTGAGTCTCGCTCTGTCCCCAGGCTGGAGTGCAGTGGTGCAATCTCAGGTCACAACCTCCACCTCCCCGGTTCAAGCGATTCTCCTGCCTTAGCCTCCCTAGTAGCTGGGACTATGGGCGTGCACCACCACATCCAGCTAATTTTTGTATTTTTAGTAGAGACAGGGTTTCACCATGTTGGCCAGGATGGTCTCAATCTCCTGACCTCGTGATTGGCCCATCTCAGCCTCCCAAAGTGCTGGGATTACAGGCGTGAGCCACCATGCCCAGGAGTTTTTAATCTGCTGTTTTTCACTTTCAGAAATTTAATTATTCGGAGTCTGATATCTGAGACCATTCTCTTTTCTGTAACCACAGAGTTGTCTTATGCGGAAATTGTGATAATTCATAAATTAATCTTAAAGGGTCTGATTCTCAAGTTCATTTTTTAAGATTGATTTCTCAATGTTTAGTGATTTCTGATTATAAACTAGTGATCACGGAACCTTTTTCTGCAAAAATTGAGGTTTGTGTAAAATTTCTCTATGGAAGAACTGCTTCCATTACAAACAGGGGAGTCTTATTCTAAAACACATTTTTGGCTTGGGTCAGATAGTGAATTCCAGCCCCAAATCTGCAAGACAGAAGATGGAGGACGAGGAATTCTCTCAGGTAGAAGCCCTTTACCTCTAATTGTGTGTAAAACCAGGCCCAGGTTATCAAATTTCCACTTATTGCATAAGTTTGTCATCAATGTTTTTAATCTGATTCCCATCCTATTAAGGTCTTGCTTGAAATGTGTCCTCTGTTCTCAACATGCATGACATGTCAACAACCAGACCCTAGGTGACTAGGAATAGGTAGGTTTCTTCAGGGTAAATGTCAGCTCCATAGATCTCTATGTAATCACCATCACTCATCATTTCTGGCCTCTGATTATTTTCCTTACAGGCAAGTCCAAGTGTACTTTTAAAAAGTTTTTTTTTTTTGAGATGGAGTCTCACTCTGTCGCCCAGGCTGGAGTGCAGAGGTGCAATCTCAGCTCACTGCAACCTACGCCTCCGGGGTTCAAGTGATTCTTCTGCCTCACCCTCCCGAGTAGCTGGGACTATAGGCGCATGCCACCATGCCCAGCTAATTTTTGTATTTTTAGTAGAGACGGGGTTTCACCAAGTCAGCAAGGCTAGTCTCAAACTCTTGACCTCATGATCTGCCCGCCTCAAACCCCAAAGTGCTGGGATTACAGGCGTGAGCCACCGGGCCTGGCCAAGATGTTTTTATATGTTATCCAGCATTTAAGCGTTTTACATGAGAAATGGTTTCTCCACACATTTAGTAGCCATATTGCCAGAAATGGAAATCAAAATTTGGATAAGTTAACCAGAATTCCTTATATATGAATGAATGCACAATATGCTTGATGAGGAAACAAGAAAAATTTATTCTTACTTATTAGAAATTCATTACCTACTATTTCACTAAGTGGTTTCTGTTAGTGCAAAAATTATTCATTATGTGAAAAATAATGCTTTAATGAAAGTTGACTTCTACCATGGGGATATGCAAAGCAAATTTCTCAGATTACATGCCACTATAATGTTTGAAAATATGGAGATGAAGTCTTCATAATGTGAGTCACATCTTTCATACAAAATCTCACACAGAATCTTAACAGGCTTGAGACTTAAGTGTTAAGGGGGCAAAGAAGATAAAGGATGCCTCCTGACATTCAAAGTTCTTTCTTTCCTTACCATCAGATTTAAAAAATCACTGTCATAGCATAACACAGGACCTGACATATAGCACTCCAAAAATATTTGTTAAATAAAAGTGTGACCACCAAAAATAAACCACAGGGTAGGTGATATATTTATTTAATTATATAATGTTTCAAAATTCCTATCTGGGAGAAACTTAGTGGTAAATGGTAGATCAAACAAAATCACAAAGCACATAGTGACTGAGAAGTCACTAAGGAGATAAGAATCCAAGATATTATAATATTTTCCAAATATTTTACATTTCATGGGTACACAAAGTTACTATCTTACTTATGTAATTTCAATAAGCTTAAGAAATAAAGTGAAGGGAAGAACAAATTTTCAAGTCAAACAGATTGGTTAAAATTCTAGCTTCTCTATTTCTGGTCATGTGGCTTTCAGCAAGTTACTAAACCGTTTTCAGCCTGTTTCCTCATTTTTAAAACGACGATAATAATTTAATAGGACAACTATATGGCAAGTTACTTAACCTTTTTCAGCCTCAGTTATCTGATTTTTAAAATGGTAACAATAATAATTTCATAGGACAACCATAAAGATTAAATGAGAATCCATGTGTTAAATGCTTAGCACAGTCCTTGATATGCTTCTTTTGAGGCAAATGGATTAAAAATCACCTACACTACACACCTTGGTAGAAACTACGTCATACCATTCCTAATGGTCTACTGTAAATCTTGAGCAGAGAAAGAATCCAACAGACTTTTTTGTAGTAAAAAAAGAATAGGCCAGCACGGTGGCTCACGCCTGTAATCCCAGTACTTTGGAAGGTCGAGGCGGGTGGATCACGAGGTCAGGAGATCAAGACCATCCCGGCTAACATGGTGAAACCCCGTCTCTACTAAAAATACAAAAAAAATTAGCTGGGTGTGGTGGCGGGTGCCTGTAGTCCCAGCTACTCAGGAGTCTGAAGCAGGGGAATGGCGTGAACCCGGGAGGCGGAGCTTGCAGTGAGCCGAGATCGCGCCACTGCACTCCAGCCTGGGAGACTGAGCAAGACGCCGTCTCAAATAAAAAAAAAAGAATAAGAGCACAAACCTCCATATTTATTAACAGTATCATGAAGACTGTGAACACATCTGGCAAAACCAACATACCGAAGCAGTTACTAACAGCAATACAATTTTTATATCGAATCTAGCTCCAAAATACTAACATCAATACCTCAGAAATTGGGAAGTTTAGAAAAAAGAATATTTCCTCCGAAATAAAAAGAAATGCATACTTAACTAGCGTACTATGGAAAGCAAGAGATAGTTTTCCAAATAACAACCAAATAAAACCACACAGATTTGAGGGAACACTGGCACAATACAATACACCATTCTCCAAGGCCACTGTAGTTAGAAAGAGAAGAAATGGGTATTAATTTCAACGTTAGGACTCGGAAATTAATTTCCTGGTATTGCTAAGCAACTGATTACAAAGGGAGGCTTTTGAACTTGTGTTTCATTAAAGACCTTTAAAGTGAGAAGAAAGTTTCATGCATGTATTAGATGTAAGTGAGGCTCTCTTCCTAATCCATAAGTCCCAGTGACTGTGCTGTGACACATTGATGTGTAACACGAAGAATTGTGTCACAAAGTTCTGGATTTAGAACTTCCTCTAAATAAGCTTTCTCAACCAGAACAATACCATCTACTTCTAGGGGTATTTGAAAATGTGCAGAGGGGCATTTTGAAATTGTCATAATGACCTTAAGAGAGAACAGAGGGAAAGGATGCTAATGGCAATTAGTAGTTGGGCCCCAAATGCTAAATGAATGACAGTCACATCACACACGATGGCATTTCATTTACTCTCCTCTTCCACCCCCACCAAAAAAAAAAATCATATAAATGTTCCCTATTCCCCTCTCGCTAAGACGGTCAAGCCATGCCATTCCTTTTACACTTCAAAGTCCGGGGCTCAATAGAGACTAGATTTACAAACTGCAACCTACCGGCAGGCAGCTTAATTACTATCACTGTTGTCAGATGCTCTTGTCTTGTCCTTTTCATTATCATAATCAAGTACGGTCCTCTTCAAAGGTCTATATTCAGTTTTCTCCACTGGTATAGTATTTCACCCTTGCTCCAACACCAGACTTTCAGCTAGCAGATATGAGAAAAGACCTCCACTCTAGTACACTATGCCAGAACAAAAACTCGCCAAGTATCCTTGAAACCTCGTATCTATAGACGAAGGAAGAGAAATTCCATAACCTCCTGAGAGCACATCAAATTTTTGTGTCTAGCAGTACATGTGCCTCTTAATGGGAACGAGGTCCATAGTTCTCATAAGACTCTCAAAAGAGACTGTGACTTTAAAATATTAAAAACAATTGCTCATTGAAAATTATCCCCCAAATCTTTTAAAATTCCTGTGCTTTAAAATCTCTGATGGTTTCCCAATATCTGTAACATAGATTTAAACTCTCTCAACGTATTAGCTAAAGCACTCTACAGTGAAGCCATCACTCAAAATATTAGAATTCAAAACCTATCCTGGCAATTTTTTTATGTACTTTACAATTTTAAGAAATCAAACTACTTCCTTCAAACATATGCTTTCCTTCCTCAAGGTCCTGCTCACAATTTCCCTCTTCTGAAACATTTTCCTGTATCCTCAACAAACAAAATCCTAATCATTCTTCATGTTCTAGTTCACAGGCCACACCTACATTTACCTACCTACTCAGCTGAAATTAACCTTACTCATCTGTGCTTTCATAGTATCTTGTATTTCCACTCTAGCACATGTCACGTTCTCCTTGGTTTATGGTTACAGCAAGGTGCCCAATGTCTGGGCTGAGCATAATTACCAGCCTGTGGCCTGTTAGAAACCAGGCTGTATAGCAGGAGGCAAGCGGCAGGCGAGTGAGCCAGCATATCCACCTCCTGTCAGAACAGCAGCGGCATTCGATTCTCACAGGAATGCGAACCCTATTGTGAACTGTGCGTGCGAGGGATCTAGGTTGCATGCGCCTTATGAGAATCTAATGCCTGATAATCTGAGGTGGAACAGTTTCATCCCAAAGCCATCCTTCCCTTCTCCCCAGCCCCATCCATGGTAAAACTGTCTTCTACGAAACTGATCCCTGGTGCCAAAAAGGTTGGCTGGGTTACAGTATTGTAATGTTTTCCCTGACCTAGTAGAATATGACTAAAGGACAAAAGCTGCATCTTATTCCTCGCTGTGATCACCAGTAAGTGATACTGTGCCTTACATAATATAGGTGTCTAATATAAATATCTACAAAATTAAATTAAAATTAATACTGGGCAAAGTGGCTTACGCCTGTAATTGCAACACTTTGGGAGGCCAAGGCTAGAGGATCACTTGAGCCCAGGAGTTTGAGACCAACCTGGGCAACATAGTGAGACAAGCTGGAGCATCACTTGAGCCCAGGAGTTTGAGACCAGCCTGGACAACATAGTGAGACCCTGTCTCTCAAAAAAAAAATAGCCAGGTGTGGTGGCATGTGCCTGTGGTCCCAATTACTTGAGAGGCTGAAGTGGGAGGATTACTTGAGCCCAGGAGATTAGGTTGCAGTGAGCCATGATTGTGTCACTGCTCTCCAGTCTGGGTAACAGAGCCAGACCCTGTCTCAAAAAAAAAAAAAAAAATTAACACCTTAGATTTGCAAGGAAATTTGGCTATTATTAAACAAAGATGAAAACTACATGGAAGAATAGATGTGAAAAGCATATGGCAATTTCATCCCCTGAAACTTACAAAATGGCTAGTCTAGGCCAGTTATATCCAGTTCATATACCCACAAATTCTTTCACACAAAAAGGAAAGCCAATTCAGTTATAGAAAGCCTATATGAATAGAAAACAAACGAATGTTAACAAAGTAGTCTGCAAACTATAAAGCATTACACAATATAGATGACTAATCATGATTATTACAGTCTACTATCCTTTAACACAGTGTATGTTTTAAACTACCAGACTGTTTCTATTTTTTAACAGACCAACATAGTTATAAAGAGTTTTATGGGTTAAAATTAATTAATTGAAACAACTCATGACTATATTAAGATGATTTAAGAGATCATTAGATGCCCAGGTGAAATCACAAAAGTATGAAAAATATCAGAGAGAACTGATAATAAAGTTTTATATTTTAAGATTATGTTTATTATATAGAACACAAAGTATACTAAGCAACAAATAATTTCTAAAGACACAGATTTTTTGTCTTCCTTGGTTTAAATTTCAAACTGTTTTATTCATAGCAAGTTTTTAATAAGAAAATTCAAGGAGTAATAAGACTTGGCCAATTGAAGAAAAACACTTTGTATTTCACATGGTAACCCAGATCATGAGGGAAAAAAATCAACGATTTTCCAGGTCAAGAATGCTCACTTCAAGCATTCCTCAGTAGCTTCAAGGCTCTACAGTATATTATTCTGGGCAAATGGGAAAGGAATAATAAATCAGTGAAAGAGAAACTTCTGGGACAAATTTAAGTGCTGAATAATTGCTTTTATTTTGTATACCCTGTGACCTTCCTACAGGAAAGGTGTGCTAATAAAAACCGTGCTTGGCCGGGCGCTGTGGCTCACACCTGCAATCCCAGGACTTTGGGAGGTCGAGGCAGGTGGATCACAAGGTCAGGAGATTGAGACCATCCTGGCTAACATGGTGAATGAAACCCTGTCTCTACTTAAAATACACAAAATTAGCCGGGCGTGGAGGCACACGCCCGTAGTCCCAGCTCGGGAGGCTGAGGCAGGAGAATCGCTTGAACCCAGGAGGCGGAGGTTGCAGTGAGCCAAGATCGCGCCACTGTACTGTAGCCTGGCGACAAAGCAAGACTCCGTCTAAAAAAAAAAAAAAACATGCTCATGGGCTAGTCAGTTTCTATTCTTGTACGCAAGACCATATGATGTTGATTATTCAGAAGTATATATTAGAAATGCTTTGTGCTTACACATTTTTGTTATAAAGACTTTTTATATTGTATCAACTTATGCAAAAACATAAATAAGAAACTTTTAGATTTAAAAATATACAGCCACTTGTTAGCTGAGATACTTCAAAAAGCAGTATTTAAAGAGGAGGAGGAGGAGTCCAAAATGCACTTATAATGACAAATGTCTTACATTAATAAGCCATATTACAACATAAATTTTAGTAAAACACACTGAGTTGTATAAAACCTATATTATTTGCATATTCTTTTGTATATTTATTTAATCTTTCTCCAAAAAGCTAATTAAATGTTGAGAAATAATCCAAAGAATTTCAGAATCAATGTATTTAACTGGGCATATTATGACACCTAAATGTATGGCAGAATTCAGTCTTGGTAGCAAATGCTATAATTTAAAAATAATGGTCCTCTATTTTATAAGGAATGTTGATTTATATAGAAAGTAGGAATACAGTATTAGAGATTGGTAATCAGGAAATTTGAATTCTAGGTTCTAACTAAGCACTACTACTAAGGAACTGTGCCAAATATTTTCGTAACCTCTCTAGGTCTCAGACTATTAAAAAAATGGAAGTGGGAGGGTTGATTTTATATTCCATTCAAGAAATTATGATTTGGTTCATATGAGCAAAGGCTTTTACCCAAAAATAAATATATAAAATATCCACGTGTCTACATGTTAATGTCAGTTAAAAAAGAGAATTACAAACCATTAGCACTGAAAATTCAAATTTAAAAATTTTAGTGCCTCATAAACAAATACTTTAAAAAAAAATTTAAGGCCAGGCAAAAAATAAAGAATAATTACATGTGTTAATGAAAGCATAATCACAACAGGAAACCAAACAGCTAATTAAGCCCCAGTTTTTGCCTCAAAAATATTATAAATTAATGCTTTCTCTATTTTAGAATGTTGATAACTAATACCCTGCAGAAACACTAGAAACATGATACTATACAATTAACACAAAATCACTAATTGATTCTGAAATTAAGCACACTTCATTCAGGAAAGCCAAAATCAAATTATTTTTATAAGATGCAATTCTATAACTTATGAAAATGTTCAAAGACAGGATCCTAAACTGAAAGTGTAGGACTATAAAATGGGTAAAGATTGCACGGGAGCAGTTACAACATTTCTACTTTTGTCCTTTATGAAATTCACTTGGCAATAAAGAAATCATAAAAGGGTTATGTAACTCTATCTTCAAATTTTTAAAGTCAAATATTAAAGTGAAGAAGGGAGAGGAGGCCCTAGAGCTTAGGGCTGCCCAACGAACATACTCCTTCGATAGTAGAATTCTGTATTGAGAGAGGAAAATCCTTATACTCAAACAACCTGTAAATAAATAGGTCTTTGATCATAGACTTTTAAGTCACTCACCAAGAGAATCAAGGAATTTTAATAGGACTGTACTAAGGTTCTTTCTTAGAGAATATAAAACATGGGGTACCTATATATTTGCCCAAGACCACAATATAATTTTTTCAATCCCCAAACTAATTGTTATAGATCAAACAGATTTGATTTAAGGTGAAACCTTACTCCTGAAAATTATGAAGCACAAAATATCAATTAAGATCTTCAAATAGGCCATCAAATTTGTTTTTTAAAAAAATTTCTTACTGTAATGAAGTCATTCCCTTTAACCATTCTTCCTTGGTAAAAAATCCCATGCTTTCAGCCTCCAATTTCCACGCTAAAACTAACATAATAATCTGGAAAGAACAGAACATAAAGGATAGGGGAAAAGTCAGCATAGAGATAATCATGTCTATATTTATCATGGAGAGCATTTTTACACAACTACTTCCATCCTTCAACTATTAAAGAGTACAACCTCTGGAATTATTAACTATATACAAAGAAATTGAGATGTGCCAATTTCTTAAAAGTAAAAAGTTCTAACAGTTTCTGAAGGTAGAATCTCTTATTCTATTACATATAACATTTGTATCAAGAAAGAATACATTTGCCCAACTTAAACTGATTAAAAATACCTTAAATGCAAATTTACAATATTAAACATGAAGAAATAAAATCTTCATACAAGATTAAAGTGTCTCGATTTTTAGTAATTTACGAATATGCTATACCCCACTTATATGCCATTCTACTTAGAAATAAAACATACATTTTCAGGTTCAACACCAATGTCTTCACAAAATTTTTCCATTCCTTCTGGCCCTACAACTTCATCAGGACCTTCAAAGACAAAAATAATTAACATATTTTGTTATAATATCAACATAAAACATAAATCGTCATGCTAAAGGTACCCATGAACACACCATAATATTTTGCAAATAATTAAATTTGAATTTTGGCATAGCTTTGATAAGTATAAATATTTGCTACAGGATTTAAAATTTAAAATTTGTGAAGTATTCTTTGAACACCAGATTACAATATGAAATTAAGAAAATTTAAAAAGCAGCAAAGAAATACTCCATTAGTATCAATCACAAGTTAGTACAAAAACTCAAACCAATCCATTAAAAAAAAAATTCACTGAGAGCCTACTCTGAATAAAATTTTTGACAATGCATGAATATGAAAAAACATAAGGCAGCTGGAGCTTCTTAATCTACTGGAATATCAGAACCAACACAAAGTTCAATACAGTAATCAGAAGGGGAATATATTTACCTATAAAACAGGCCATTTATTACCCTTTTGAAATACACTCAAATATAATTTAATTATTGAAAAAGACAAAGGTATTTTGAAAATAATGACTTATGGAAATTACTACATTCCATTTCCAGAAAGAGCTATTTTCCTTATCATCTTGGTTCTAAAACAGACAGCAAGCATTGATGTCACCTTAATGTAGAAACAGAAGTTTAATCTTTCAATTAGTTAGTGTCTATCATTCATCCAAAAATTAATTACTGGCATTTAACTTGTTCCTTATTTTACACCCTTAGCAACATTAATAAATCAATACATCAATTATCATTTTTTCAAAATGTTATCAGATTCCCAAAATATAGTAATTACATCATCACTAGGTCTCTTTTGTGACTGGATAAGAATAAAACAAATTTTGTAATAATATGAGAAATGTGTTTACCACTATGGGATTTTGAAAATATAATCTTGAGATATTATTCTTAAGAGTCAAGAGAAGCCTCTATTTTCCTTTTTCAAGGATGAAAATCCTCCAGCTTTATAAACCATAGACTAGACCAAGGCTGCTCAGGTAAATTTGACAGCACCATATTTAGGTTACTAGCACAACATAAAGTCAATACATTCTTGCTGCCTGAGATCCAAGCTGCTAAGATGACATTAATACTGGTCTGAAGCCAAAACCCTTTTTAATTTTTTTGTGTAACATGTTAAGTGTTATTAGGTTTAAATAAGTACTAACAATGCACTCGTGTTAAAAGGTGAAGGGGGTGATTAATTATAGGGCACTTTCTCTTCCTTTACATATTTGGAGAATTGTTTAAATGAGAATGTGTTAATTTTATAACTTAAAAGGCATACATATACAATAAAGGTGTTAAAATGCATAAATGAGTATGTATTCTTATATATGATTGAAAGAAAACAAAAATCAGATTTGAAAATTTAAGAGGCCCAGGCGCGGTGGCTCATGCCTGTAATCTTGGCACTTTGGGAGGCCGAGGTGGGATTATCACTTGAGCCCAAGAGTTCCAGACAAACCTGCACAACACAGGGAGACCCCATCTCTAGGGAAAAAAAAAATAGCCTTGTGTGGTGGTGCCAGTCTGTGGTCCCAGCTACTCAGGAGACTGAGGTGGGAGCATTGCTTGAGCCCAGGAGTTTGAGGCTGCAATGAGCCATGATCACGCCATTGTACTCCAGCCTGGGAGAGAGCAAGGCCCTGTCTCAAAAAAAAATAAAAAATAAAAAATTAAGGGAAAAGACAAACGGTTTTTTTAAAAGCCACGATGTAAATATATTGTAAATTTTTCTAAAGCATCAAGAAAACATACTTGCTCTCAAAGTTGCCATTAGTGATTCAAAGAGAAAGCTTTAGAGGATGTCTAGAAACATCAGCATAAGCTAGGAGCAGTGGCTCACGCCTGTAATCTCAGCACTTTGGGAGGCCGAGGCAGATGGATTACGAGGTCAGGATTTCAAGACCAGCCTGGCCAAGATGGTGAAACCCTGTCTCTACTAAAACTACAAAAATTAGCCAGACGTGGTGGCAGGTGCCTGTAATCCCAGCTACGCAGGAGGCTGAGGCAGGAGAATCACTTAACCTAGGTGGCAGAGGTTGCAGTGAGCCGAGATTGCGCCACTGCACTCCAGCGTAGGTGACAGAGCGAGACTCTGTCTCAAAAAATATAAAAAATAAAAAAGAAATATCAGTATAGCCCCCCTAGAAACTGGAGGATTACTTGGTGATTACTAATTAAAATTTGGTTAGAAGCAAGTCAAATGAGATTACATAGAGATATAATACCTTATAACTTAGATAAGGTCTGTAAATGTTAACTGACTTTGCCAAAGTGATGTAAATAGTAACAGATCTAAGTCTAAAGCGAGGTCTGTAACTAATGTGCTTTCCCCGGACTGCAAAATGTTAATCCTTCCAATACCATTGCTTCCAATCTTTCTAATAAAACTACTCTCTGGGTAAAACCTCTGGAGCTAAATTTAATTAACTCTTTTGGACAACTAGGTTTCCACTCAATTGAAGAAGCTATAGAAATGATTTTGTTCATACTATGAGTTCACTCTACTCCACCAGCTAGGTACTATATTAGGACTATGCAATTCCAACCTTATTTTTTGACTCTATGAGACTTTAAAACTGCCCTTTCACTTTCCATGTTTTCAATTACCATAGGCCAGTATATTACTGAATCATTAATTTAAATATCACTCAAGAATGAGGTCTTGTGAAAGAACAAAACCAACAGCCTTATCACACATAATACCATAGTAACAAGTTTAGTGATATTTTCAAAACTAAAAGAAAAACACCATCAATTTCCTGATTTCTTTATAACCATAAAGGAATGTTCCTAGCTATATCTGCAAGGCCTAATACCATGCCAGCCATAACAGATGCTTAGGGGGAAAAAAAAAAAATTCTCAGTGACACAGCACCTTCAACATGAGCTACGTAAGAGTCATTAATTTTGGAACACTGTAAAAAACACACAACCAGTAAATCTGATGCTGTAATGCTATTACTGTTTTAATAATAATAACATTTGAGTTCTGACTATATACCAGGTATTGTGCTAAGGGCTTTACATGTATTATTCTCAGTAGGCAAAATTATTGGCTTCATTTTAATACGGACATACCCATTTCAAGACAGAACAGTTACTGTTTATTTGGCAAACAAATGGTTCCTCCCTAATCAGGTCTCTGCACAAAGTGGTCTCCACAGAGAGGCCTTCCCTAATCACTCTATCTGAAAGTCCATCTAACCCTTCTTTCTTCTCTATTCCTGAACCTCACCATATTTATTATCCTTATAACTCCCCACAATCTGTACTTATCTTGCCTACATACCTGTTTACTGACTGTCTTCCTCACCAGAAGGCAAGTCCCCCAAAGGCAGGGATCTTGTCTGACTTGCTCAGCACTATATATCCAGCACTCAGCACAGTGCCTGACTCAAAACAAGTGCTCAATATTTATTGAATGGATGACAGAAATTAACCAAGAGTACCAATATTTTCTTTGCAAAAGTGAAAATTAGCTTAAATAAAAAATAAACATAAAATAATATCTATTATAATAAAATGTTTATAACTATATATAAACATTATAAAATTTAAATAAAAAATACATAAAAGCATAGTAGTTAAAAGCATGGACTTTAGAATCAGAAGGACCTGGGTTTGAATCCTGGCTCTTGTCACTATATGATCTTGGGCAAATTAATTAATCTAAGTCTCAGTTTTCTCATCTATAAAATGAGGGTATGGCCAAGCACAGCAGCTCATGCCTGTAATCCCACCACTCTGGGAAGCTGAGGCAATTAGATCACTTGAGCCCAGGAGTTGGAGACCAGTTTGGGCAACATCGTGAAACCCCATTTCTTTTTTTCTTTTTCTTTTTTTTTTTTTTTGAGGCAGAGTCTCACTCTGTCACCCAGGCTGGAGTGCAGTGGTGTTATCTCGGCTCACTGTGAGCTCCGCCTCCTGGGTTCACGCCATTCTCCTGCCCCAGCCTCCCAAGTAGCTGGGACTACAGGCGCACACCACCACGCCCGGCTAATTGTTTGTGTTTTTGGTAGAGAGAGTGTTTCACCATGTTAACCAGGATGGTCTCGATCTCCTGACCTCGTGATCTGCCTACCTTGGCCTCCCAAAGTGCTGAGATTACAGACGTGAGCCACCACACCCGGCTGAAACCCCATTTCTACAAAAAATTTAAAAAATTAGCCAGGCGTGGTGGCACATGCCTATATTCCCACCTACTAGAAAGGCTGAGGTGGGAGGATGGCCTGAGCCCAGGAGCTCAAGGCTGCAGTGAGCCATGATCACAGCACTGCGCTCCAGCGTGGGCGACACAGTGAGACCCTGTCTCAAAAAATAAAGTCGTAGTGGGAGGTGGTGATAATACTACCTACTTAATAGAACAGTCACAAGAAAAAATAATATACCTGGGACAATTCCTGGAATAATGCAATTATTATGTTGGCTATTAAAAATGCTAATATAGTAAACAAATGTTTAATTAGAATCTTACACTACCTAGGAAAGTTCCTAGTTGAGGCAAATATTTTCTATTTCTATTGTATCTAGTAACCTTTATAAGTGAAATAAGATGGGTGACCTTTTGATTATATATCATTCATACCAGTAAAACTGGCATTTGGGATAATGGGTCAACATTTTAAATGGAGGTCAGTAAGAAATGAATTCCCTTCATTTAAATTGGGTTAGTGGTTGTCTTGGGATGCCAGTAATAGCATTTATTTCTGGTCTAGAAAGAATCTGTTCTGTTACTAAACAATTTTAAAATTGTACTTTGGGATCACTCAGCTGATTCCAACAGTAAAGTTACTGCCCCCCTTTCAAAATAGTCTCACATTCCATACAATTAGCCTAAACTTATACCTCAAGTTCAAAGTATACTACTTTAGACCTTAATGTGGATGAGCACTAAATATAAGGCAATAGCTACATATACACTTCCATTTTAAACAAACATTTTGAGAATGATAGTGATTAAAAGAAGGAGAAAAAAAAGTGAAGCAGGTTAAAAAAAAGGAAAAGGAAAAGAAAAAAGCTTTAAAATCAATAACTCCAAAAAAACAAAACTATTCTAAGGGGAAAAAAATTCCATATATATTTATGAGATAGTATAAGTGTTCTTTTGCATATATTTGCTTAACTCTTCAGCCCCATCTCTGGCTGGCTTTGACTTTCGCCTCTAAAACACAACCCCATCCTGGGCCTAGGGCTCTTCATCCACCAGTTACAAGATTTAGCTGAGGTTAAGTTAGCTCCTCTAGAAAACTCCCATGACACTTTAAAAGCTGGGTTATATATCCCTCCTATGAACTCTCACAGTGTATCTTCTGAATATAGTATTTATCACACTGTATTAATATCAGTCTATTTATTTTCTTACTATTGCATCTCTAGTAGAAGTGGATGGCTAAATGATAATTGTTAAAAAGTAAATGTGTTGTACAATTATAACTGAGGGGTTTAAATCTTTTACTATGTCTCCCCAAAAGTTTCAGAAAATGTTAGTTCAGAAAAATTTCAAAAAGAGAATATTGAATAGAAATGTTTTATTATGTACTTTGTGTTTTCCACAATATCAAATACAAAAATGTTTTATTGTGTACCTTTTATTTTCCAGAATACTACTTTAGCCAATAGATGTAAATAAATGAATCTTTGTTTACACGTTTTATTAATAGTAAATGAGTTCTTCCCTCCCAGTAAATATATACCGAATATATATTTAAAGAAATATCAGCCTAAATTGGCAACAAATTTTTAGTCTACCCACAATCTTCAGTCCTGACCCTCATCCCAGTACACAGCACTAACACATAGCAGGCCTGTAACAGATAATTTGTTAAATGAATAAGGCAAATAAACTTTTTAAAGCATATGACTAGTATCTTCTTATATTAATTTCATTACCTGCATATTCATAAAACCAAGCCAGGCACTTCTTGCTTGAAAAATGTTCCTCTCCACTTATTAGTCTAGCAGGGGGTTGGGATCTGCAATAGCTTAGAAAACACACAGACGCCTAAGATTTTTATCACATCTCAACTCTTAGAGAAAAACTAAGTTCAAAATTAACAACTTCCATTCACATTAAACAAAGGTTTTTTTTTTCTTCGGTTGGCATTGTTGGAAAAAAACTGAAGTTGTTAAGTAATTGCAACTTGAAACAGTAGTCTATACATAAGAATTATCGGCTAACAAAACCCAAATACCTTTTCACTCAGTATCAAAATCCAAAAATATCAGTAAGTTATTTCCGCACATTTTAAAAGACTACAAAGAAGTTCAACCTAGTAGGTGGGAAAGTATAAATATTTATTATGATTCTATTGATTTGCATAGAAATTCTATTTGTGTGTAATAGATAAATATTTGAAAACAAACTCTTACAAAGTATATTTTGATACTTAATGAATCAATATTTCAAAATAAAATGTTATATTAAGAGTTGTTTTATCACCTAAGCTTAAATAGATTTTTAAAGATAAATGATGACTTAGGACCTAAGGGTATATTAAATTACACAGATTTAAAAAAAACAACAAAAAAACACTAAAAGTTAATAATAGTCCAAATAATTGGGACAAGGCTATTTAATCCTAGGTTCTGTTCATTCTATTTCATTTTTTTCATAAAATCATTTTCATTGTTTTTCATAAAATAACTAAAATTTGGTAAGTTCAAAATGGCCTCTAGAATTTAATGGCCTTCAGAGAAACTTTTTTCAAGGAACTCAAATAATTACCCTACCACAATGATATAGAAATGATAGAACTTCTGTAACTGAGTAAAGTAAGAGTATCATATTTAAAAATTTAAATTGATAGAGCAAAGTATCACCTGAGTTCTAATAATACTGCCTGCTCAGCTATCTTAATGTACTTAACTTAAATAATTTTAATACATTATATACTTAAGATGGCCATGATATAGTACAAAAATGAATAATAATTTGCCTGTATCTTATAAAAATGTGAGCTACTAAAGTAACCATGTCAAATTCTAATGTTGACAAACAAGAGGTGTATGTATCATCGTTCACATTAATAGCCTAATACTCCATAGACTCCTTTACCAAAACACAGTAATGAGGGAAAAAAGTCGACCAATTACAAAAAAGAAGATGCAGACTATGTAAGTCATCTACCTCACAGTTTAAGCAGATCTCTCTTTAAGGAGAGCTCTATCATTATTTCCTTCTTATAATCCTGGCTACAGTCTCCTTTCAATAGTAGCATCTGAAGTTGTCATATCAAGTGCCAACCATTGATGAAAAGGCAGCTAATATGGTTATTTTTTAAAAAAGCATTTCTCAGTCGGGCGAGGTGGCTCACTCCTGTAATCCCAGCACTTTGGGAGGCCGAGGCGGGCGGATCGCGAGGTCAGGAGTTCAAGACCAGCCTAGTCAACATAGTGAAACCCCGTCTCTACTAAAAATACAAAAAATTAGCAGGGCGTGGTGGCGGGCGCCTATAATCCCAGCTACTCAGGAGGCTGAGGCAGGAGAATCGCTTGAACCCGGGAGGCGGAGGTTGCAGTAAGCGGAGATCGCGCCACTGCACTCCAGCCTGGACAACAGTGGAAGACTCCGTCTCAGAAAAACAAAACAAAACAAAAAAACAAAAAAACCATTTCTCAAACCAAAATTGCAGTTTTTTTGTAGCATAAATTTTGCTGTGATGCCTCCATGATATGCTACAAGGGGATCAAAGAGCTACTACTATATAGTTCTGCCTTGTCTTCTTTCTTACCAGTAGGACAGAGTACAAGAGCTCACAAATTATTTAATTTATGCTGAGAGCTAACAGCGTCCTGAATGCTAGAAGACAAAAAGCATGCAGGGCCTTTCCAACTCTGCACACAGGGACTTGGCATAGGTGAGGCACTATACTTCCAGAAAATGGGGCTCCTGCAATTTAAAAGGCCTCCTGCTGGGACCTTCCGGGTTAGGCCACTCCAAATACTAAATATGGAGGCCAATTATAGCATACAAGTTTTCCTTTCTACCATTCCCAAGACAGTTGTCAAGATTCCTTATGTTCTGCTTTCTTCACACTCTACAAAGAAATTCTAGAAGTGACCCTTCTGCGGATATGTACTCACTTCTAAGTCTAGAAAAAGGCAGAGGAGCGATACGGGAGTAGGGGATCGAGGGTCGGTTGTGGGGTGGGGGTGGGGGTGGGGGGAAGCGCAATTTACATATGCATCTGTTCCCCACCCTGCAGGGCACGTAGACTCTTAACGTGGGCGGCTCTTCTAGTCTCTCCATAAACGCCAGCGTGCACACACTCGAACACGAGGTCGGGTCGGGCGCGGAGACTCGCGGTGTTCGGCACCTACAGCCTAGCTCGATCAAAGGGGCCTCACCTGTCTCCAGCCCCAGCCCGGCAGGCCGGGCCCGACTCCTTTTCCTCCAGTTGTCCAGCAAAGGAGGGAGGAGGGAAGCTTGAAGGGTGGGGGGAGATGGTACCTGGAGATTTTACACTTTTTGAGGCCTCCGTCTTCCGCTACTGCTGCTGCCACCCCAGGGGATTTTCTCTTCTTCTTCACCGGCATCTTCCGCCCTCCCCGGCAGGGTGGGCAGGGGAGCCGGGGAAGGGGGTCCCTGTCCGCTGGAAGCCCCTCAGCGCTGGCACCCAGTTCCCAGAGACAGCAGCAAGCGGAGGAGCAGAGTCGCCAGCCCGCACCGGCGCGGCCCAGCCCGGCCGCCGCCCGCTCCCAGGTATCCTCGTCGTCTTTCTCTGACCGGGACAGGGCTGGCTCCTCGCCGGTGGACACTGCGGTTCGTTCTCACCGGGAGGAGATAACGCGGACAGCGCGGCAGCTCCACCAGTCACAGCAAGCAAGAGGCTCAGCCTAACCCGGAGGCGAATCGCTGAGGCCCGGAAGTGACGCAATCGCGGAGCCGGTCCCGGGAAGGGGCGTGGTTCCGGTTAGCCTCTGCCACTCGTAGGTAGGCCAGGCAGAGCGAAGCTGTCTGACCCGTCGACTGCGGCAGTCCGCGGAATTCTTGTATCCTGTCCAGGGTATCCTGACCTTTCTCATGAAGCTTCTACCGCGCTCTGATGCTGGCAGTCACCGCCAAAAAGTGAAACTACTAATACTTTGCAGTTGACGTTAAAAACAACCTGGTAAAGTAGACCAAGTTCCACTTCTGAGCTCTTCCACACGATAACCTCACCTGAAGTGTTCCCACCCCGTAAATGCATTGTCACCCTGTGTCTTGCGTGTTTTTTTTATGGGCCTGTGATCAGCCACCCACTCCCCCTTCTCCCTACCTTTGCATATCACTTTGTCCTGTATTGAAACTTAGCTCTGCCATTATTTCCACAGAGCTCACCTCTCCGATAAGAGACAGTAGGTGACTGCGACTCAGTAGAGAGAAATTTGGGGGACAGTTCTAAGGAACCTCCCCCTAGACCCAAAACACACTGTAATCTATTCATCTCCACTTAGGTGGAAATACTGTTTTTAAATAATGGTTATTGTATGTAAAGACATAGTAGAAAGTCGTTAGTAATTCTGTTGGTAAAATAATCTCTGCAAACCAACTGTGATGGGAGAAGACTAAAAGTCTTTGAGTAATAGTTGAAGTGGTTCCTGTGAAACTACCCTCACAATGGCACCCTAATCTGGTCAATCCGAATATCATATTTCCTTAGTGTTATTAATTGGTTCAGGATGGACACATACTCAGGCCAGGCCAATGAGTGCCAATGACACAAAATTGAACCACCAGAAAGCAATTTTATTTCCTATGGATTTGAACCAGAGAAGGTATGGAGAATGAAGCCAAAACTCAGAAGAGACTAGTATCAAGCAGAAAAATAGAAAAACCAGGATGTGATTATATGATATGAGCCCAAAATCCATGATATGCCCTGGAATTTTCACTTATGTGAAGCAACAAATTTCACTATTTTGCATATTTAGTTCAATTCTCTGTTACTTAAAACCAAAAGAATGTCAAAGTATATGATCCTTCAACCCATTTAAAAATGCCTGAGGCCAAAATCAAAACAGAATCAGATAAAGTCTCTAAATAGAACTACCATCTACAAAAAGTACAGGACAGAGGAACATGTTAAATACCCAATGCAATCAGCAATATCTAGACGTCAGAAAAGTCTACAGGACAATGACCCAAATTCTGCAACAAATTATTAGGACGAGAGGAGAGAGAAGGAAATTAAAAGACTTAAAGGATATGTCAATCATTTTCAGTATGCAGTTCTTATTTGAATTTGACTCACACAAACAGTTTAAACAATATGATAACATCTCTGTGGCAATTGGAGATGTTAATGCTGGCTGGATATTTGATGAAATTCTAGAACATGTAAAACTTACTTATAGCAATGGCATATCAGTGACACTTGGGGACAGGGATGGAGTAAGCCGGGGAAGACTGACTGCAAAGAAACACAAGGGAACTTTTTGGGTAATGAACATATTCTATGTCTTGATTGAAGTAATAGTATATATACTTGTCAAAATTCATTGAATTGTACACTTAAAAATTGATATTTTTATGCATATTCTTCCTAAATAAAATTTATATAAAATGTGCAAAACAAAACACAAAATAAATGATAATGACAAAACTATTAGAGATAGCCAAACTTATTTCTTCAACTGGTGAGCTGCAAAAGCTAAACAGCCCCTTTTCCCAAGGAGGACCAAAGAAATGGAATAAAACCTAAAGGATAGAAAGAAAGATCTCAGAGGATGATGTTAAAGGGGTGTCCTTCCACAGAGTAGAATCAGGGCCTGATCAAAGAGTAGGGAATTTCATAATGCCTGTCTTGCAGGCTACCAGCATTGCTATAGACCAAAGACCACTGCACATCTCATCTTCTGTTCTTTTTTAAATAGGAATTTTTTTATTGTGATAATTGTGTCCCTTCTTCACCATTATTTATTGGGCGAGAGTGGGAAGTAGATTATTGCTTCTTAGTTCATAGGCCATTGGACCATAAGGAATCACTTTCGAACTAAGGAAGACCCCACTATACCTGGAAATCCTGGACATTGAGCTGAATGCAGTAACTGGATAGGAGCTTACTCACACCCATAGAATACTCTGAGAAAAAGACAAAAGGCTGGATCTATGTGTGGTATTCATTTAGTCTATCTATTCAAAAAATATTTAATCATCACTTCAACCAGGAGCTTTACTGGGCTTAAGAATATAAAAGGCAGACATGACTCCTGCAATCATGGAGCTGCCAGTCTGGAGGGAGAAATACAGTCATGCACCACGTAATGACATTTTGGTCAAGATGTGCATATGCGATGATAGTCCCTTAAGATTATAATACTGTATTTTTACTGTGCCTTTTCTATGTTGAGGTATGTTGAGATACACAAATACAATTGTGTTAAAATTGCCTACAGTATTCAGTACAGTACCATGCTGTACAGGTTTGTAGCCTAGGATCTATAGGCTGTACCGTATAGCCTAGATGTGTAGTAAGCTATATCATCCAGGTTTGTATAAGTACACTCTGTGATGTTCACACAATGATGAAACTGCCTAATGACACATTTCTCAGAATGTATTCCTGTCAATAAGCAATATATGACTCTATGTATGCTATCTGCATTTAAGAGAATTATATGAATAGGAATTAGGGTTCATAATCTATGCTTGTCAATGATATTAAAGGGATGGCAATTTCTGGGTCATGTAGACCATTCTCATCCATCTACCTCTTCATTCTCTTGTCTGGTCAGTACCTACTGCTACTGCCAAAACTCCATTCCCAAAAGTTGGCTCTTCATCATCCCAATTACTCTCACAAAGGGGCATATTGATAGCCTTGCTACCTATGAGAAGTATAGAAATGCCTAGTTATGTGGCTTTAATATTTTCCGCTGCTCACCAATGCATACATAGTACATGATTTTGCATCAAAAAGATGCCTCTAATACAGAAACAAACTATGACAGAGTACTGTGGCTCTCTGGCGTGCAGTAGAATTTTTTAAATGAAGGTAATGACAAGGAAGGGAGGGATGAAGTAGTTACCTCAAGCAGAAGCCTGTGTGTTCTGGTTTCAGATCCAAAGAAGACACTCAAGTGACTTTAGGAAAGGCAGATAATTTCCTTTATCTTTCATCTTATCCTACTATTATACAGAAGGATGTAGGAAAAAAACAACAATAATAATACTTATGCTGAATAGGGAAGTAATTAAGCAAGAAGACTGAGACCCAGTTCTATTATCTATTTGGCATCTTGGTCACATATACATCCCTTAGCTTTTGGGAGTTATAAAACAAAGCCATGAAAAACATCTTTTAAAATAGTTATATCTCTGTCAAGGTATCCAAAAATAGTACTCTAAGATGTGTTAATTTATATATTCCGTACATAGTTTAGTTTTTCTTAACACCTCTTTAAAATAGGACTTTCCTACTTGGGAGAATAACAAGCAACACAGACATTAAGTGATTTATGGGATGCCGCGTTATTGTGGTCCTGGATCTGTGCAGATGCTCTCCCTTCCATATATTAATGTTGATTTTTAAAACAGCATTGTAGTTAAAAATTTTCTGAAATGTTTTCATGCACATAAATCTACAGAAAGATAACTCTAAGAGAATAGTAGAAATGGGATGTCAAGACAGGATTTTTTGTTTTGGCATTTCAGTATAGCCTACAAGAACTCCTTGTGTTTTAGAGAGGCCCAGAGGTGCAGAACTGTGTAACACATGACACTTACCCCCTACACCCTAAAGCGGTGTGCCAGACCACATCAATTTTAGCTTGGCTGTGACTGTGGTTCACTCTGGGATCTAGACTGAGGGAACAGTCACTACCTAGAACACTGCTTGTCATCATGACAGAGAGAAAGAACAACATGGTAAATCCCATGCTGCCTCTTGAGGATTCTGCCCCGAAGTGACACATTAATCCTGTTCAAGTCATATGGCTACACCTGAGGTCACGAGGGCAGGAATGTATGATCCCCCTGCAGAGAGAAACATCAAGTAAAGGTAAATACAGCCTACTACAGTAAGAGACTGGACTGAAATTTTGTTCAAAGCATAGGGAAAAATGAGTTCACAGTGCAGTTTTAAAGAGGCAGTAGGAAAAAGCATAAGATTGGTTTCAGCTTATACCTCACCGTGGCAGTTTATATTCTTCAAAGGTGGTCACAGCAATATCTCTCATCCCACATATTCTAGAAACTTACCATTTCCTATCAAAAAGTGAAGTCTAGTTGAAAAAAAAAATCAATATTGGTTCATTCATTGTGGGAAATGTACCATACCAATGTAAGACATTAGTAATAGGGGAAACTGGGTGTGGGATATATGAGCAGTTTCTGTAGTATCATTGCAATTTTTCCACAAAATTAAAACTCTTCTAAAATAAATTATTAAAAAGTCACAGTGAATGGGAAAAAATAAAATTTAGAAAATAGTAAAGTACAGGAAGAAAGAGTAATGATTCAAAGGAGCTGCCTAGGTTGGATGCTTTTGGAAAGGTAAGAATCGAAAAAATTCTGGATGTGGGATCATAGGTAGAAAGCAATGTCTTGTATATCAGCTGGCCAAGGACAGAGCAATTTCAACTTGAAACCTAACCAGGAAGACTAAGAACAAGTGCTCAGGTGGGAAATTGTATTAAGCAGTACACCTGATTTGCTTTCCCATATGTGAATATGTACCCCAAATGAAGAAAAGTAGTTCAGGCCAGGTGCCGTGGCTCATGCCTGTAATCCCAGGACTTTGGGAGGCCGAGGTGAGTGGATCACTTGAGGCAAGGAGTTCGAGACCAGTCTGGCCAACATGGACAAAACTCTGTTCCTACTAAAGATACAAAAATTAGCCGGGCGTGGTGGCGCATGCCTGTAATCTCAGCTCTGCGGAGGCTGAGGCAGGAGAATCTCTTGAACCTGGGAGGTGGAGGTTGCAGTGAGCCAAGATCATGGCACTGCACTCCAGCCTAGGTGACAAAGCAAGACTCTGTCTTAAAAAAAAGTAGTTCACAGAACCAAAATTACTGGCAGAGGTTGTATTGTTTTGATGACTTGCTGAAGAGAACTCTCTTTTTGTTTGGATGAGATGGTAGAGAAGACCAAAATTGAATGGAGACAGCTTGCACTGGGTATGTTCTTAAGTGTAGTTTCCTAATTTTGGTATTTGCTGAATAGGCATTTATCACACTATACACTTCCAAGACTTAACATTGGAAAGTGGCATAGTGTAAAGGGTTTGTTAAAATAAGAACCACCATTAGACTGATGAATTTCCTTTTTAACTTTGCAAACTTGATAAAACATTTAACCATGTTGTGACTCAGTTTTGTTCTTTGTAAGATAAAATAATAATACTTGCCTTGTCTGACATCACAGCATTGTGGTGTTGAAAAAAATGAGAAAATAAATGTTAAATAAATGTTTTGATAACAATGTTATCAAAATTGCTAAAGGGTACAAAACCACGTATCAGTTGAGGTCTTTAGAGTACATTAAACAAAAATCAAATTCTATATTTAGCAAGAGGATATATTTTGAAGCATTTTACAGAATCAAAGGAAGGCGTTGCAATGAAGGAGATACGTAAAAGGAGTGAGTTGTCTTGGTTTTTATCCTCACCCAAATTCTGATAATGGAGCTTTCTTATCTATATCACTACCACCTTTTTGATGACTTCATCTTTAGTTGCAGGGATATTAACAATAACCATGTTTTCAGCCATTGAAAATAGGGTCATCTACACTGGGCAGTTTGAATGGGATTCAGCAAATTCTTGGGCCATGGCTATGCATGACTTCTTTGGAAAATCCATAGGTAACATGTGAGCAGTTATGGAAAGCCACTGGTGAGGACCACTCAGCACAGAGAAGATCAGTTCACATGATTGCAGCAGAGGCAGTTATTCTTAGAAAGGCAGTTAATGGTCTGCAAAGAGTCGGACATTTATTTGGCACCCACCTTGCTCTCGTCTCTGACAGTGATAGTGTTGGTGTCTCTTGATGCTGATGCTGCTCCTCATTATGTGTTCCTCAGAGGCCTATTCCCTCATCTCTAGTTTCACAACAAAGACCTCTTCCAAGTTCAAGCCCTATCCAACTTTTGAACTCTATTTCTAGCCAAGATGACCTTCAATTGTTATGGCATAGCATCTGTGATCTTCCTCTTTCAGGGCCTGAACTTGTAATTTGCAAAAGCCTTCTTGTTTATAAAGAAAACATAGCTTATGAGAATCAACAGTTTTGGTTTAAATAGCATTTTTTAAAATATTGTGGTATTTCAAGAGTATGTTTTTAAAGTAAATAGTAAGCCAACTATATTTCTTTCCATTTCTGATTTACAGTTTATAATTTTCTTTTAGATAATGACACTGACTATAATGATCATGAGCAAGAATATAGAGAAAACAAAAATAGAACAAAATATAACAATTCTTTCAAGATATTATCTCTCTATAGGCTAAACAAGTAGAGAATTCTTAGATAACTTCACTGAACTCTTTCACATTTCATATGCAGTTAAGGCTTCCACTGCACATCCTTCTGATACAACCTATACTTAGGACCAGATGCATAATTTGTGGGACTCAGAACAAAATGAAAATGCAGAGCCTCTTGTTAAAAAAATTATGTAGTGCTCTGTGAGGACCCATCATCAAACCAACTGAGAGGCCTTTTTAAGCATGATGCCCTGTGACATTGCACAAGTTGCATGTGCATAAAATCTGCCCTGCATACACTTTAAAAACAAGTCAAGGCCCGATTGACCTATAGGTTCATTCAATGGAACACCAGATTTGTAAAGCACACTTAGTCAGAGAATGATATGTGTTGATAAAGTCATTCTTTCCTATTCCAGGGTACAATAAAGATTACATTTCCCTCACTTGAACCCGGGAGGTGGAGGTTGCAATGAGCTGAGATTGCACCATTGCACTCCAACCTGGGTGACAGAGCAAGACTCTGACAAAAAACAAACAAACAAACAAAAAAAACAAAACATTTCCTATCCACCCTTGAAGTCAGGAATTGCCATATACATCTGCTGCATGAGACTTCACTCTTTACCTGTCAATCAACCAGATTTAAATAACCCAGGAGATAATTCCATAGTCCTAGGGGATAGTGGAGCTACAAAATGGAATAGGTCTAGATTCCTGAATCATCACATGGAAGACTGCCTGCCAAGTACCACATTGAATTGTCAGAAGAAGGAGAAATAAAATTCTTACGTTAAGCCACTGAAATTTGGGGGTTGTTATAATAACGTTTGCCATACCTTGATTGTATCTGTCAGGACTAGGCTATGTTACAGTAACAAACACTAAAATATCACTATGCTTATCGTAACAAAAGTTTATTTCTTGTTCGTGGTAGGTTATTGAGAAAACCCTACCCATCCAAGCTACTCAGGGAGCTAAACTGATAAAAACACTGTCTTGATTTATGCTTCCATGATTACCATGACAGTGAGAAAGAACTATGGTAAATCATATTGGCGTTTAGTATTTTTGTGTATATGTGATATATTACTTCTACATAGATTTCAGAGATCAAAGCAAGTCATAAGATCATACCTATCTTTAAAAAGAGCGGAGAAGTGCCAAGAAAGAGGAAAGCCAGAAACATTTGTTAGATGACAGTAACAACTACCACATGAATATAGATGTTGGTGCTTAGAATGAAGATGCTGCATGCAGAAACTTAAAATATGTTGTATAGAATTAGTGGTCATGCAACAGGCAGCAAAGAAACAGATTAGTAGGTTGATTATCTAGAGATTTTTAACATGCCTTGTTAAAATATTCAGTGATACTTCCCAATGAGAAGTAGAAGAGAGACCATTAACCTAGTAAGAATCTAACTCTATGGAAAATAGCTAGAGGCAGAGTGATAGTGTGTATTGGCTACAGTTGTCTGCCTTTAGCAAGATTTACAAGAAAAATATGAGCTCTGATGAGAGCTGGTTAATCTTCCAGAAAGAATAGAAGGATACTGAGGAATCCTAGAGATCAAGGGTCTCTCAGGTTTAGAGAGGCTGACTGCTCCTAGTTTCTAAGTAATAAGAGATAAGACTGAAAAAAAGTTGTAAGTGATAAAGGCACTGAAAGATCTCTCAGTTAATAAAAGTGATAGAATCTTTGGGTAAAGCTCAGACTAAGGGTTTTAACCTTGCCGTTTAAACCTATTGTTTCATATAGCCTCAGGATACCCATCAAGTTGAGAGAGGGGGACTTGGGTATGAGTAAGCAAAAAGATCATTCTTTGGAATCATATATAGGAAATAACTAGAATATGGAATTTAGAATATGGAACTAAAAGCAAATACATTCGAAAGCCTACTAAGTTTGGAAAATAATTTTATTGTTAAATAAACCATGTGCCTGGACCAAAAAACACTGATTTTTTGAGCCTTAAAACAACTATCAAGCTCCCAGAGTTTCCCCAGAAGGAAGCTCAAATAACTTAAATTTTTAGTTTGTAGGTTGCTGAACCATCAGGAGCTATATTTCAACCCGATGGAAGCAACTGCATCACATGGATACCTTAGAGATTCCTCTCTTTTCTCTGACAAAGGACTTCCCCAAACGTGTCTTCATTGACTTCACAGCCCCATTCCTGACAAGAACACTAGACACAGCATAGGAATAATTTCCAGTAGTTTCAGTGAATGTGTTCCTTAAAGGTGTAAAATCTCAAATTTCGTATTTGATTAGATATCTTTAGGGATTAAAGGTGCCAAGCCAATGCTTGAAAAATGAGAATTGTAACCTGATCTCTTTTACTTTAAATTTATCCTGAGCTACCCTGCTGAGTAGGTTGACACTGCCTAATTTTTGATGTTCTATTCTCATAGCAACAAGCTGTGATGTCAGAGAGTTATTTTATCACAGAATCTATCCAAAAAGATGCCAGGCTGTGAAGCAGAAAGTTCTGATTTAATTGCATGTTATTCAACAATCATTTTATGTAAATAAAAATGGAGATGGAAAAAAAGACTCAACAATTTATGTGAACATCTTTATTAATAGTTGCCATGGTGTAAAAAGCTTTCCCTTCAGCATTTACATCAGTGGGTACGTATTTCTTTTTAAATGACATTAAAGGACATTCAGGCAAGACTACTTCCTGCAAATAACAGATAAGCTAGATAATGCACACAGTAAAGAAAGCAACTTCAAACCATCTAAATGTATAACTAGCATCATCATAGAGGAAAAGATTAACTAGTAATGTGATTTGAAATTGTTTATATTAAGGGCCTTAACACAGTTTTACTAGCATACTTTTTTATCCTGAATGGCAAAATTAAAAGCAATATCTTTACCAGACAAGTAATTATCACATAATCTGGTGTAAGTGCAACAAATTTCATTAAGACAGCATTACATAAAGCAGCTTTACAAACCTGCAAGCCTTTTGGGCCTGGTAGACCATGTAAATTAGTGAAATGGCCTGGGTGTAAGACAACGGGGTAGGTGGGTACCATGGCTGAAGCCAAGTGCATGCCCTATCTGCAGAAGTCTGGATGGGTTAGATTAGGCCAGAGCAACAAAGAAGCCAAAGAAGCTCAGTTGTTGAGGACAACACAATTTTCTTGCTTGTTCATACTACCTGTTAAAGGTCAGCTGGAGACTCTGTTCTTTGTCATTAGTGCAGCCACTGTCTAGAACACTACTGGTTACTGTGGCAGAGTAAAAAGAAAGAGCACAGCTTCTTTGGCTTAGTGAAGCAGTATTTGTTTTTGTTAATTTGAAAAACATTAGGCCAGGCACGGTGGCTCATGCCTATAATCTCTTCACTTTGGGAGGCCAAGGTAGGCAGATCATTTGAGGTCAGGAGTTCAAGACCAGCCTGGCCAACATGGTGAAACTGGTGTATTCTCTACTAAAAATACAAAAAACCAAAAAAATTAGCTGGGTGTGGTGGCAGGTGCCTGTAATCCCAGCTACTCAGGAGGCTGAGGCAGGAGAATCACTTGAACCCGGGAAGTGGAGGTTGTAGTGAGTCAAGATTGTGCCACTGCACTCCAGCCTGGGGGACAGAGTGAGACTCTGTCTCAAAAAGAAAAAAAAAGAAAAAGAAAAAGAGAAACATTAGAAAGTGTGGTAGTTACTAGGGTTACTCTCAAATATTCTATAACTCACCTTTTGTGTACAAGGTATGGTTTCACTTACCTGCCCACTTGCAGTAAGATGTGACCATGTGGTTTGCTTGGCCAATGAAAGGTAAATGGAAGTGATGTGCAGAAACTTTGGGAGCCAGTATCTACTTTTTCACATGTTCTCTTTTCCCTCAATACCAGTAAGATGTACGGTCAAAAAGCAATGTGACTACTTAAGAGAATTCTTACATAAGGTAACTATAACCACAGCTCAAGAACTAGAAACAATTTTTACTAAAAAGTACTTGTACAGCATCACAAAGCTATACTTTTAAGAATATATATATATATATATATATTCCTCCCAAGACTGGTATTCTTTTTATTTTAAAAGATAACAGTTTTAATAACAGTTTGAATACAGTCTTTGCTGTATTTCCTGCAATCCTTGCTATTAATACTTAAATGTATTTAAAAGTGACTTTGATATGTAATTTTTAAAACATAATGAAGCACTAACATTCAAATAAATGATATTTATTATCTGATAGAAAAGTTAAGATTTAAACTATTTAAATATACTGTCTGGATGTTCTCATAATGAAACACAGAAATATTATTTGCAAGAAGGAATGCTACCCCTTGATTTTGTTATCTTCTAATGATTGTTTCTTGTTCTCTTGTTAGAGGAGACAGGTGAAAATCATGCCCACATTATCACATTTCTGGGTATTCTCCCACTTCTTCAATGATAACATCATAGGACATCATTGGGGGAGGGGGTGACAAGAGTGCAGATATAAAAAATATCTTCAGCTACATGTTAGAAACCAATGAAGACTAACACCCTTGCTTACATATCTCCTTCCTCTTTCCCTGTATATTTTCAGTGCAATTGACTGCAGGAAGAATTGGCTCCCTGCTAGACCCAGAAGGAACAGTTAGCAATTACTGACTGATTTAGAAAGAGAGTCAGAAGAAATAGAATTCCTTTTATTCCACAAAGAGTCATAAAAATGTGTAAAGGTAAATATATTTAAGTATTTGAGGTAAATATCAGATTTCAGTGTAGAGAATCGTCTTTGTTTGTTTGGGCTGCTACAATAAAATATCTTGGACTGGGTAATTTGTAAATAATAGAAACTTATTGCTCACAGTTATGGAGGCTGGGAAATCCAAGATCAAAGCAACAGCAGATTTGGTATCTGGTGGGAGCCTGTTCCTCCTAGGTGATGCCTTCTATATGTCCTCATATAATGGAAGGGGTGAACAAGCTCTATTGGTCCTCTTTTACAGGGGCACTAATTTGATTCATGAGGGCTCCATCCTCAAGACCTAATCACCTTCCAAAGCCCTACCTTTTAATAATATCACGATAGGGATTAAGTTTCAACATATAAATTTGAAGGAATATTAAATGATCTGTATTACTCAGGGCTCTCCAGAGAAACAGAATCAACAGGGTATAAATAAATATTTAAGAGGATATTTGTTATGGGAATTTCCTCACCCAATTATGGAGGCCAAGAAGTCCCAAGTTATGCTGTCTGCAAGTTGGAAAACCAGGAAAGCTGGTGGTGTAATTCAGCCTGAGTCTCAAGACCTTGGAACATGGTGTGCTGCTGGTATAAATTCTGAAGTCAAAAGGTCCCAAAGCTAGGAGTTCTGATTTTCCAGAGCAGAAGATGGATGGCCCACCACCAGAAGATAGCAAGTTCACCCTTCCTTGCCTTTTTGTTCTATTTGAGTCCTCAAGGGATTGGATGATGCCTGCCCACATTGATGAGGGCTATCTTCTTACCCAGTCTATTGATTCAAATACTAATCTTTTCCTGAAACACCCTCACAAATACACCCAGAAATAATGTTTTACCAGCTATCTGGGTATCATTTTATCTAACAACTTGACTAGTATTTTTTCCTTTAAATTTACTAAATTACAAAGCATCTATTTAACAAGTAGGGCAATATTGTATAACCAACACTATATATTTAACATATTTGCCAATATTTATCAAACATAATGGGTAAAATGGAAAAAAATCTTTATCCTATATTCACCTTCATGGAATAGATGCAGATACCTTAGAAATCATCTAGAAGGCTAGATTTCTGGAGGAACTTGAAATATTTTCAGAGGAACTACAAGGTCAGAACTGTTTTCACAATAATAGTGAAACATTATGTATCTCCGCTGCTATGCTTGACATTTTCATCGATGGTGCAGTAGCAATGGCAGCTACGGTAGGCAGAATTCTAGGAAGGCCCCAAGGCCACTGCTCCCTGGCACGCACACTTTGAAGAGCCCCCTAACCTTGAGTGTGGAGGAAATCTGTGAATATGACGGTATATCACTCCCGTGCCTAGTTTACTCATCAGTTGACTTTGAGTTAATGAAAAAGGAGATTATTCGTTGGGCCTGATCTAATCAGGTGAATCCTTAAAAGGAACTGGCTTCTTGCTGTTATAAAAGAGATTTGAGGCACAAGGGAGCTTAGATGTGTTAGGAAGTTCTCTACTGTTGGCTTAAAAGACGGAGGATAAGAATGTGGGCAATATCTAATTGCTGAGTGGCCCCAGCTGACATCCAGCAAAGAAATGAGGACCTCAGTCTTACAACTGCAAGAAAATGCATTCTGCATCAACTATAAGAGGACTCTAAGCTCCAAATGAGAATGCAGCCTGGCTGACATCTTGATTTATGCCTGTGAGACCCTTAGCATGCAGCACCCAGCCTCCTGACTTATCAGACTTTTAGCTAATAAATGGGTGTTATTTTAAGCCACTAAATTTGTAGTAGTTTGTTACACAACAATGTAAAACAATGCAGTGGCTAAAACAGCTGGCAAATTGACACAAATCAAGGGTGGGGCACCAAACTGCTTTACTAATCATCTATTCTTCACATGCATGCATTCACTGGAAAAGATTCCAGTTTCATTTAAGAATCTCCTGGATGAAGGAGTAAAATTTATTCTTTTCATTAAATCTTAAACCTTCAGTACTAGTCATTTCAATATTTTGAACAATGAAATAATATACCGTAAAACACTGCTGCATTGAAGTATTAATAATGGCCTGTTTCAAGGAAAATAATTTTGTGATTGTCTGAGTTATGGTCAAAACTAGCTGTTTTTTTTTCATGGAAGACCATTTTTACTTGAAAGAATAACAAAATAATGTTATTCAGACTTTGATATTTGGCAGAAATTTTTCTTAAAAATGAATGAAATGAGCTTATCACTTCCAGGGAAACAATTGACCTTATTTGTGGCCAATGATAAAATTCAAGTGTTCCTGCAAAAATTAGAATCTTGGATAACTTAAATTCTCTACTGTAAGTTTGACAACCTCTCCATACATAAAGACTTTTTCTTGGCCAGGCGAGGTGGCTCATTCCTGTAATCTCAGCACTTTAGGAGGCTGAGGTGGGAGGATCACTTGAGCACAGGAGTTTGAGACTACAGCAAGGTATGATCAAGCCACTGCACTCCAGCTTGGGTGACAGAGAAAGACCCTGTCTCTAAAAAGACTTTTTCTTATAAGATCAGTGGTGTATTAATAAATGTGATTTTAAAAATATTATATAAGCAAATGTATCAATATTTGGAAGATCTTCATAGCTTAGGAACCAATACTTTCTAAATGACCAATGTATGATGTTATGAAATTATGTGCGAGCAAAAGATACATTCAAAGTGCTAGAAAACCAATGGATTTTAATGTAACTGAGTATGAAATATTCATTGATCTGGTTCCAAATTCCAAATTTTAACTATCCTTTAAGAAACTACTACTTGTGGAATGTTAGTTTAGTATAAAAGAATATTCACAAGCATCTATTAAAATCTTCATTTTTTAGCTTCTCAATTTTTAAACTACATATCTGTGTGAGGCTGGATATTCTCTATATACTTCAATCCAAACAACGTATTGCAAGAGATGGAATGCAGAAGAACATAGAGGATCCAGTTGTCTTCTGTTAAGGCAGACAGGAAAGGGACTTAACAAAAATGTAAAAACAATGCCATTCTTCTCATCATTTTTTTTTGCCTTTTAGAAATATAATTATTTTCATAAAAATGTTATTTATTTTACCAAGAATGGTCTTATTATGCTTATTTTAAGATAGATAGATATTTCAAAAATTTCTCAGTTTTAATTTTGATTACAATAAATGTTGATAGAAATAAACTACAGAAACAAAATCCTTTTGAAGTCTTCAGTAATTTTTTTTATTTTATTTTTTTTGAGACAGAGTCTTGCTCTGTTACTCAGGTTGGAGTGCAGTGGCACGATCTTGGCTCACTGCAACCTCTGCCTCCCAGGTTCAAGCTATTCTTCTGCCTCAGACTCCCGAGTAGCTGGAATTACAGGTGTGCGCCACTGTGCCCGGCTAATTTTTGAATTTTTAGTAGAGACGGGGTTTCACCATATTGGCCAGGCTGGTCTCAAACTCCTGACCTCATGATCTGCCCGCCTCAGCCTCCCAAAGTGCTGGGATTACAGGCGAGAGCCACTGTGCCTGGCAGTAATTTTTTAAAGTATAAAAATAATTGTTTAAAGTATAAAGTATAAAAAGGTCACCAAAAAGTTTGGGAAATGGCATATAGGACAAAATTAGGAAACCCTGTCTCAGAAAGTTTTGGGCCTTCCCCTTCAGCTCACGTTACCTGTTTTTATGCCACCTGCCAGACAACTGCTAAGACAATGCTCCACATTAAAAAAAAAAATCATTACTACACTATGGATATCAATTACTCTTTTGGTTAGAGTAGCCTAAATTGCCATAAAAATAGCCCACACAGTTTAATGTACAATGCCTCAAACACAACAAAGCTTATTTCTTGCTTATTTAACAACTGCAGACATTATTCCACTCTGTGATTCAGGATCCTAGGGTCCTACTCTTGGAAAGTTTTGCCATCCCTGTTGCTTTATTGTTATCTGCAACCAGCTGGCAAAAGTTAAGGTATTCTCACTTCTTTAAAACTTTGCCTTGAAGACGCACACATTACTTCTTCTCACATTTTATTGGTGAGAATTAGTCACATGACCACACCTGGATGGTAGCCACTTCTTAGCTATGGAAGGGAAAAATAGATTTTGGTGGATATCTGGCTAACACTGTGATATGGTATATAGAGATTGGCTCAGAATTGGATTTTGGTAGGAATCTTGGTTCTACCACTTACCATCTCTGTGTTTTTGTGTAAGTTATTTAATCTGTGAGGTTCTTTCTTCTTTATTGTATGCTTGATACAATACATAAAGTCCGTATCTGTCTTTTCTTCCCACTCTGTGCCTCATTTTTCGTATATAGTAGTGAAAAGGAAACACAAAACTTCTATTTCATGGGGTTTACATGTCAACGGGAGCTTCCATGTTTGAGATCGGTGTTAAACTTGATTCAAACACAATTTCATAGTTTGTGGAAGCCCTAAGTTTCCTGAAGAGTTCTAAAAATTCTTGGGAGGATCACATACTCATGATCTCATCTGCTTTCTAGACTCATCTTCCTACATGTGTTGCCTTTTTATTTACCATATTGTTATGGAAGCTCAATTCAGCCATTTCATACATTTCCACCAAAACAACTCACCAAACCGAGCACTTGTGGGTAATGGAGACTTTCCTGAAGACCTTGGTAAGAGTGATAATGCTCATTGCAGAGCAGGAAACTCTGTAACCATAGTGGTCACTTTGGCTTTCAAAATCTTTTTATTAGCTACACAGTCATCTTGGGTTCCTGTTAGGATTTTTTCCCTCACCCAGTGGTCAGCATCCCACCTCACTGTTTGGATGTTTTCCCATCCAGTGGCCAGACTCCCATCTCTCACTGTTTGGATATTTCATGAGAATTTACATTCATTTCCTTTTATAATTTAGAGCAGTTCAGCTTTTTTAAGTTCCCACTCCAAAATCTTAAGTTGCTCAGCAAATAAAAGGACTCTCTCCTTCCAATTCTCAAATAGTATAGTTTTAAGGGGAGGTTATGATTATTAAGTGCAAACAAAAAAAATCTGCATATGTTTGTGTACCCTAGGATCTTGGGTCAAACCAGTGCTGAGGTGATGAATGACTACAGCAAAAACTTCCTGAGGGCAGGAACTGTGTCCCCAGGGCCTAGTTCGGTACTTGGCAAATTGTGTTAGATTGGTGCAAAAGTAATTACAGTTCTTGCCAAAAAACCGCAATTACGTTTGCACCAACCTAATAGCATGTAGTAAATATTTTTAGAAGAGAATTACTGAATTGAGAAAGTGTTTGACGAATGTTCGGATGAATGACCAGCAATTTAGTAGTTTATAGTAATGCCATGAAGTAGAAAATGACAAAGACCGTTTTCATATCTGTATTTTCACAGAATTTGGTTGCGGTTGTTATAAAATAAACTAAAAAGTATCATTTTACATTTTAGCTATTTTACAAATATGGTTGTGCTCGGGTAATGATTGCAATAAAAAATTGCTGGTTAAATTATTCTAAAATTAATAATAGAAAAAACGATGTTGGGAAATGCAGCAGCACAGAAAGGAGCAGAGGGCGACTGAGAAAGTAAATTAACATTGTATTGAATTCCTAGTCTTTATAAGCTTCTCTAAAAAGCGATTTTTAAATAGTAATCTTTTACAATCCGCACTACACCCCTGGTTGTGAGATAGTATTTCCCCTTCTTAACAGATGTGTACCTTGACGCTGACAGACTGGTTTGCTACCAGGTGCACGTGGAGAGCGAGCACTGGAACCCAGCTCTCCTAAATCTAGATCACGCTGCTGTACTTGAAGGCTAGATGTCTCTCTTCTGATTATGCGTGATAAGAAATCAGTAAGAAGAATAAAAGACATGTTTGAGAGCCAACATAAACTTGTCCGAACCCCTTACAATCGATGACCGCAGGGAGCCGCTGAAGAGCTCCGAGGCGGTCGATAGCCTCCGCGAGCTTTGCGTGCGCGTGCCCCGAGAGGGCAACGCCCACCGCGCGCCGCCAGCGACGCCGCCGTAGTGCTCCGTCGCCATAGCGACTACCCCTGGCAACCGCGAAGCTCTGCGGTCCCGCGGTCGGGCTACGGGTTTGAGCAAAGCTCCTCTCTTCCCTTCACTTCCCTCCGGACTGGTTTCTTCTTCCTTCCCCCTTCCCCCAACTTCCCTCCACCCCTTCCAATCATGGCGAACGGGACTGCGGACGTTCGGAAGCTCTTCATCTTCACTACTACCCAGAATTACTTCGGGTTGATGTCTGAACTCTGGGATCAGCCACTGTTGTGCAACTGTCTTGAAATCAACAACTTCTTGGATGACGGCAACCAGATGCTCCTCAGGGTGCAGCGATCCGACGCAGGAATCTCCTTTTCCAACACGGTACGGTTCCTTGCACTCCTGCCTGACCCCTGACCACTCTTCAAGTCCCCAGGCCCAGCCAGAGGGACGTCGGGTCACACTCTTTAGCTTTACCAACCAGATCCTTTTCAGGAACCCAAGGCTGTCTCCACTTCTCCTGCATTATTGGCTTAGATGCGTTGGCCTCGTGCTTAAGCAGGTAGTTTCCAAGCTTTGCATCCTACCTGACCGAAGCATGTTTCCCTTCCATACATCTGAATAGAAGCAATTAGATTGTGTTTTATTTTAAATTTTTATACGGAGTTTCGTTCTGTCGCTTAGGCTGGATGGAGTGTAGTGGCGCGATCTCTGCTCACTGCGTCCTCCACCTCCTGAGTTCAAGCGATTCTCGTGCCTCAGCCTCCCGAGTAGCAGGCGCGCGCCGCCACGCCTGGCTAATTTTTGTATTTTCAGTAGAGACGGGGGTTTCACCACGTTGGCCATGTGGGTCTCCATCTCCTGACCTCAAGTGATCCGGCCTCCCAAAGTGCTGGGATTGCAAGCATGAGCCACCGCGCCCGGCCTATATTCTACTTTTTAAGAAAGACTGCAGATACGTTATAACTAAAAAGAAAACATTTACTTAGTTATTTTTATTTTTTTCTCTCCCCTTTTTGAGTTTTTTTTTTGGGGGGAAGGCAAATTCTAGTCTATCTTTTTTGGATCAGGCTCTGATTTTAACATTGCCCAAGGGAAAGATTAGTTAGGAATTTAAATTTTTGTGAAATGATATATTTCAAAATAAAGTTTGAATTCTTTTTTGGTGTACATCATGTGATATACTGATTTATTAATTGCACTGCTCCCTCCACTGGCAGGATTGCTTAAAAAATGGGTTGCATTTGCAATCAGGGCTTATATATATAAGCCTAAAAGAAAAACACAGAAGAAAATTGCCTGACACATTAAAGGGGACTCAGTAAATAGATTTAAGTTAATAAAACAAAGACATATTTTAAACCTCTTCCTTTGGTGTTCACCCTTATCCCTAGGTCTAGCAGAGTTTTTGACACTCAGCAAAAACATTCAGTGCCTTTTTTTTTTTTTTTAGACGCAGTTCGCAGTTTCGCTCGTATTACCCAGGCTGGAGTGCAATGGCACAATCTTGGCTCACTGCAACCTCTGCCTCCCGGGTTCAAGCGATTCTCCTGCCACAGCCTCCCAAGTAGCTGGGATTACAGGGCATGTGCCACCACACCCAGCTAATTTTTTGCAATTAGTAGAAATGGGGTTTCACCATGTTGGTCAGGCTGGTCTCGAACTCCTGACCTCAGGTGATCCACCCGCCTTGGCCTCCCAAAGTGCTGGGATTACAGGTGTGTGCCACCGTGCCTGGCTTCAGTGCATTTTTATAGGATGATTGAATCATTCACCCTATTCACTATCTTTATTCTTAGGTTTAATTCGATTGTATTTAATAAACATTTACTTTGAACTCAGTACATGCAAGGCACTTTGCCAGGCATGATGGGTTTACAAAGATATAAAAAGGATGGATAATCATAGCTAACATTTATTTTCACTTTAGACTCTGTCAAGCACTGTTCTAAGTACTTTATATGTATTCGTTCATTTAATAGCCATAACGACATTGTAAGATAGGAACTATTCTTTTTCTTATTTTATGGCTGAGGAAAGTAAGGGACAAAATTTACAACCTAAATGTTAACTTTTCTTTTTCTCCAATAGGTAGCGTAGTTCAGGATAGAGCCCCCTGCTTTCTGCCTTTCCTAGACTCACTCCAGTGGCTTAGGATGACATATACTCAGCAAATGATAAAATCAGGACACACTGTTGTAAATGCCACTGAAAGTTCGGATAGAATGCAGTAGGAAAGATGGAAAGGGGTTTGGATTCGTGAAAGTGTATCTTGGCTTGGGTATTTGAAAGTTGAAGGTAGAACTTTTTTTTTTTAAGTTAAAGCTATTACTAGTAAAGCCCAACGATGTATCTGTTATTTTTAGTTGTACACTTCGCTACAGGTTTTTAGTCATATTTGAAAATATTTTGTTATGTCTTCAGTTGTACTTTAGTTGCCTGATAGTTAGCGTGATTCAATAAGTTAATAAGTCAGCAAATATTTATTGCCTACCTACTAGTACTGGGGACAAAGCCATGAACACAGAGTCCGTATCTTAAAGGAGTAACATTGGAATGGACAAAGGTAGGCTAAACGCATGCTACAGATATATGTAACATAATTTTGGGTATTGATAAGTGCCGTTAAGATAAAAATAATGTTATAGTAGTGATGGGGCAGCGTGGGGAACTAAAGATATATAGGGTGGGAGATAATCCCTCTCTGGATTAGTTATCTTTGAAGCGAGATTTGAATGATGAGTTGCAGGCAGGCATAACCTGGGGGAAGAGTGTTCTAAGCAAAAGAAACTGTAAGTACCAAGGCCCTGAGCTGGGTTTTAACTTAGTTTCCAGGGGCAAGAAAAAAAATCCAGAGTGATTGCTGGAGTTTATGGTATGAAGGAACATTGTGGTAGATGAGAAAGGAGAATAAGGCACAGGCTGATCATTTAGGACACTGTATACCATTTAAATTGAAATAGGAAGTTATTGGTAATCTTAAGCAAGAGAGAGCTGTGATCTGGTTTATGCTTTAGGACAGAGGTTGGCAAAAAGTTTTCTGTAACGGGTCAGATAATATTGCAGGCAACAAGGGCTCCATTAGCAGCTACAACTTGGCCTTTGTAGTGTGAAAGCAGACATGTAATACTTTGTAATAATACATGTAATTGAATGGGAATGGCTATGTTCTAATAAAACTTTATGGACACTGACATGTGGATTTCATATACTTTTCATGTGTCATGAAATGTTATAAGCATTTGAGCAGTAACAAAGTTTCAGCTCCTTTCCAGTGGCCAAAAATGTAATTATTTGGATAGAAATAAGTGGCATGAGACCCATAGCTGTTCTTCCTACACAGCAGTGACCTTGTCTGAAAGCTTTTTAATGTGTAGACTTCTTTTCCTGAAAAAAGAAATGAGAATAACTGAGAATGTGTGTATAATGCAAAAACTTCCTTTGACTAGTATAGTTCTCAGCTAATGAACTCATTACTATGAACTGACCTATTTTAAACAAGATTGCTGTAGTGAATTCCAATTGAGTTCATCTGGTTCCGATTTAAAATAATCTAGCTATATGACAATTTAACAAAGTTTTATGCTCTTAACTCTTTAAGGAAAAATTTTCAGTTAAGATAAAGTTAATTTCAGGAGATAGACAACTTAAGTTCATTTTGGTAGTTTTGAGTGCATGTATAATTTTAAAAGCACCTTTTAAAATGCTTTTTCTAAGTAAGAGGGTAATTAATTACATTTTGTTATAGACTTTCTGGGTTACTAGAGAAGCACACTACTCATTGTGTACCTGGAGCCTACAGCTTTCATCTGTACTATTACTGATTCTGGCTAGAATGGACTCTGGCTGGAATGGAATCTGGCTGGAATGGAATCTGACTGGAATGGAATAGTTAGCAGTCAACAACGTATATATTGTTTTATGTTTATAAATAACTTATCAAAGTGACTTTATGATCTAATGTAAGTGGGAATAAGTTTTTAAACTGAAGTATTCTTAAGGAAAGAAGAGATAAATTGGTTTTAATATATTTATTTTTAAAGTAACTATTTTTTTCCAAGAGGTATAATTATAGTGATAGAACTTTGTCTACATTTTTTTCAAATATTAAATTTTATGAAGATAACATTAAAAATCATTTATCACTTTAGATTGAGTTTGGTGACACAAAAGATAAAGTGCTGGTGTTTTTCAAGCTGCGACCTGAAGTAATTACTGATGAGAATCTACATGATAACATTCTTGTTTCATCTATGTTAGAGTCACCTATTAGTTCTCTTTACCAAGCAGTACGGCAAGTATTCGCACCAATGTTGTTAAAGGTGAGAAAAGAAGCTGTCATTTTTTTTAACTGAGGTATTTGGATAAATGTTTTCATATAAACATAAATATCTATTTTTTACTGTTAATGTTAGTAGTGTTTTAATTTTAATTAAAATATCTTTTCTTAACTTTTTTTAACTTAAATTTTAATGTAAGTTGTGGTAAAAAATAGAGAAATTGGAGAAAGGTATAAAATGCAATCCACATCAACTCAACATTTCTACATTAAATGCTTTTCATAGTTTTAACTGTTGAGAGGACTTTTTATTCTTCTTATGAAGTGGAGGTAGTGGCAGGCTTTAAGAAAAATGGGGTTTTGGACAGTGTTTTGGGAAGCCAATTTGATTAGCAAAATTTTGATCAATCTTGGTTGCTCTTGTCTGTTTTTATTTAGGATCAGGAATGGAGCAGAAACTTTGATCCCAAACTTCAGAATCTTTTGAGTGAACTAGAAGCTGGGTTGGGTATAGTTCTACGAAGATCAGACACTAACTTAACAAAATTGAAATTTAAGGAAGATGACACACGAGGTATATAACCATAGCTTAATAAAAGAGAGTACAAAATGATTGTCTCATTAATACATTAGTAAATGAACATATTTCTTCATAGATTTCTTCAAATACTTTTGGAATTTCTCTGAGCATAGGTTTTAAAAAATGAGTAGATTTATGTGGATGTAGAGAAGAGGAAAATATAATTGTTAATAATGTGCAATCTAGCTTGAGCCTCCAGAGTAGCTAGAACTACAGGTGCATACCACTATCCGCTGGCTAATTTATTTTAGTTCTTGTAGAGATGGGGTCTTGCTGTATTGCCCAGGCTGGTGTCAAACTACTGGCCTCAAGGGATCCTCACTACTAGGCCTCCCAAAGTGCCGAGGCAGTAGTTGTGTTCTATAAAGTCACTGTAAACACTGTAAACACTGAATTAGTGAATATTGAACCTTTGTTCCTAGGAGCAATACAAGATTAGGTTCCTTTGAGCCCCTGGTCATAACATCTCATCAACTGATCAATACATAACCTTATTATTTTTTTTCTGTTTAAAGACACTTTAATTTGTGTATATTGTTGATTCATTAACATTGACTTAATGGCTAACAGCACTGTAACTCATGCCTGAATGAAGTTTATCTAGTATATGTATTTTTTCGGTAAGGTACATTACAACCTTCTTGTGCTTTGGAACACTAGACAGCAATTTAGCACTTTTTTGGGGGCCATTTTAAACAGCGAATCACTAACAAAAAGCACACAGATCTAAAAAATGTGGCACTAAGTAGACTTCAGGAAGGACACTTTGTTTATAGTATGAAATAGGAAACAATAAGGAAGTGTCACCTATTTGACCTCAGCTAGGAGCATATGTGTTAGATGACTCAAATATTTTGCTGCTCTGCTGTTTTGTATTCATTTTTTTTTCTCTGATATTCTATGCCATTTTTTTCCCCTCTTGACTTTTATAGGTATCCTTACACCAAGCGATGAGTTCCAGTTTTGGATAGAACAAGCTCACCGTGGAAATAAACAGATTAGTAAAGAAAGAGCCAATTATTTTAAAGAATTATTTGAAACAATTGCAAGAGTATGTGATTCATAAATGGTGATATATTGGGCTTCTTATAAAAGTACTTTGGGATTCAATTTTTACAGCCTCTCTTCTGTTTTAAAATGTACTTGATGATTGTGAACAAAATAGATTCTTTATATGGAGAAAACTTTAAGTTGTATATGTAAAATGAATTGAGAAATCCAAAACTTAAATTCTAATCTCTATAAAATATTTTTCTCAAAAACAAAATTACGCCTGGGCATGGTGACTCACACCTGTAATCCCAGCACTTTGGGAGGCCGAGGTGGGTGGATCACTTGAGGTCAGGAGTTCGAGACCAGCCTGGCCAACACGGTGAAACCTCGTCTCTACTAAAAGTACAAAAATTAGCTGGGCGTGGTGGTGAGCGCCTACTCGGGAGGCTGAGGCAGGATAATCACCTGAACCTGAGAGGTGGAGGTTGCAGTGAGCGGAGATCGTGCCATTGCACTCCAGCCTGGGCAAGAGTGCGAGACTCCATCTCTAGAAAAAAACAAAAAACAAAAAAAACCCCAAAATTACTTTTCTGCAGGTATATAGTGAAAAACAAATATAACAGGTTTATCCATGCACAGGTAATACGTTCTTTTGAATGGGTATTCACTTTGTTCAAATTAGCATTTTGAAGTAATCTGAAATACTAAAAGTTTTAGTTTTATGCTTATTTAACTGATTATTCCTTTATGTGTCTACATTGAAATTGAGTGACCATTTTAAGTATGAACATAAAAAGTCTACTCTTTTCAAAACAAATATATATTAATTTTCTACTCATTTCCACTATTATTTCAATAATATTTTAATAGACTGTTTTAAATGGTTTTAAGCTTTTTTTGGTAACAATGATGAAATATAGCATGACAAATCTGGACTGTGGTTGTGTTATTCTTAAACATAATATTATGAATTAATAATGAATGAATAAAGACATGCGAACTACAGTGGGTAGTGTATATGTGGAGTTGAGATAACCTTTAATGGGTAAATTTTAAAAAATCAAAATTTAAAGAAAATTAGGCCAATTGTGTAAATGAATGAGTAGACTTTTTACAATTTTTATATATTCTTTCTTTTCATGACATTGATGTTTGGGGGGAAATTATAGGGTATTTGCATATGGAAGTAGTTATAAGCTGTTAGAAAAAGGAGGAGAAAATAATATGGCAAATATTAGAGTTGTGGCAGTTGAAAAGGCCTGGGAACATTTTGATTATATTACCCAAGGTACAAATATAATTATGTTTAAAAATTAATGCATTTTTTTCTAGGAGTTTTATAACTTGGACAGTCTATCCTTACTAGAAGTTGTTGACTTGGTGGAGACTACTCAGGATGTTGTAGATGATGTGTGGAGACAAACAGAACATGATCATTATCCTGAGTCACGAATGTTGCATCTCTTAGACATCATAGGTACTAGTAAAAAAATGAACTTTTGGAATTTTGAAAACCTGTCTTATTTTGTTATCTTTTTATCCTTTAAGTCCTTACTTAAAATGCTCCTTTATGTAATACTGTAACTCTTAAAGCAAATCATGTAGCATTATTTAAATAGATATTTGTATATAGTTGGGTGGTATAAATCATATGTGTCAAATTCTTTGAACCATTGATATAACCAAATTTACATAGATTTTTAGTATTTATATATATATTTAGGCTATTTTGAAATAAACTGAAAAATTATTTAAAATATATAGGCTTATTTGTTAATATTAAATTTTTTGACCTAGAAAATACCCTTGTCATTATTTTATAAGGAAATGTCAGATAAGTACATAAGGTTATATGTACAAATATATTTATTGCAGCATTGTTTGTGATGAGCAGAAGTAAATAGCAATTAGGGATTGTTTACATAATGCAGTATCCATACAGTAGGCTCTGCAGCCTTGAGGAAATTGTATATATATATATATATTTAATATATGTATATATATATTTAATATATATATTTTATATATATATATTTTTTAATATATATATTTTTATTATACTTTAAGTTCTAGGGTACATGTGCACAACGTGCAGGTTTGTTACATATGTATACATGTGCCACGTTGGTGTGCTGCATATGTATTTCTATACTTAAAAGGTGTAATGGTATATTGAAAATTGAAAGATGCAAAAATGCAAAGCAATATGTATGTGTGATTTTAAAAATATTTGTTACTGAGAGTGGTAGTCTAAGGACATGCATGTGGTATTTCATAGATCCTTAGTTGGCTAATTTGTATATTTTAAAAATATTGTCATAAGCATGTATTTTATAATTTTTCTATAAAAATACATTTATTTCCCTTAAACTCTTTGCTTTATGTTTTATTAGGTGGTTCATTTGGAAGGTTTGTTCAGAAAAAGTTGGGAACTTTGAACCTGTGGGAAGATCCTTATTATCTTGTGAAAGAAAGTCTGAAAGCTGGTATTTCAATTTGTGAACAGTGGGTGATAGTCTGTAATCATCTAACAGGTCAGGTGTGGCAGCGCTATGTTCCTCATCCATGGAAAAATGAAAAATATTTTCCAGAAACACTTGACAAACTTGGCAAACGCCTTGAAGAGGTATCAATTTGATTATCTAGATCTTTGTCTTTAAATGTAAAGTGTATCTTCACTTGTTTGTAAATGTATTTTATAATCAATAAGCACTATACATCTGCTGGAAATTAGTTTTGTGAGAGAATAGGAATTAAAGTTCTTGTTGGGCCAGTTTCTACATCCTTTCTTTTTATTTTGTGTGAGACTGGTCAACTTGATAGTTGTGAGCTTATATTTTGTTTTTTATTGTAAAAAGATAATCAGCCCACTTGACCATGTATGGAAGCTTTCAGGGGGTCTTTTGGCTATTGCAATTGTTTTTAAGTTGGGACAACTTTTTAAGTGGTATTCAGTGGAAATATTTGAAACAATTGCTTAATTTACACAAGTTATGAGTTTCAGTAAAGAACATATATTCAGCTTACAGGGACAGGCAAAATGAGATTACTTAAAGATTGCAAAACTGACCATTCCTGCCTTGCTTAGAAGAACTATAGTTCTTTATTAGAGACTTTTTTAAAAAAAAAAACAAAACTTTTTTAAAAAATGAAATATTTCAAACATATTAAAAAGTAAAATAGTATAATGAATGTCCACGTATCCACCATTCAATTTTAATAGTCATTGACATTTTTCAATTCTTTTCTCATCTTTGTCTTCCCTGCCTTTCTCTTAACCTTTTTTTTTAAATGGAATATTTATAAAGCAGAGATATTGTATACTTCCACCCTTAAAACATAACCACAATGCCATTATCACAGCCAACAAAATGACGATAATTCCTTAATATCATTTTATGTCTAGCCAGCATGTATTTATCCTGATTTTCTCAGAAATTTGTAAATAGTTGGTTTACTTGAATGAGGTTGCAGACAAGGTGCACCCATTGTATTTGGTTGATAGGTCTCCTGAAACATTTTTAATTTAAAAGTTTCCCCTTTTTTTATGCCATATGGCATTTCTCACCTTGCTATATCAGGACGTATGTGGTATTAGGTTTTCCCATTTTTAGTGCTGTTAAGTTTAATCTGTGAGGGTTCAGGTATGATCAGTCTGATGAATTTATTATAATGCTCTCCAACTTTTAAAAAATGCTTTTAGCAGTCATTAATCATGAAGAGTTACAAAATGGTGATTTTCTAATTCTGGTGTTTTTTCTGCTTTTATTAGTCATGACTTTTCTATAAGAAGAATTTTTTCTTCAACTTTTTGTTACTTTGAAATATAGTTTGCATAGAAACGGCAGTATAGATAATTGCTTATTTCTTTTTATCACTTTAGAACAATGAACATTAAGTAGATTAGTGTCATAGTAAGTTCCATTGGCAACCAATGAAATGTTTTTTGATAGTGTCATTATGAACCCATAAATTTTTGTATTTTATGTGTTTCAGTCCATTTTAGTTATTATTATTATTATACTCAATTTGTTCAGTTTTTGGGCAGAGAGTGCCCCTTCAAGTTGCCTCCTATGCCATTTTGACATGACTTCAGTGTTTCTTTCTTTCCTTTTTTTTTGAGATGGAATCTCGATATGTTGCCCAGGTTAGAGTACAGTGAGGTGATCTTGGCTCACTGCAACCTCTGCCTCCCAGGATCAAGCAGTTCTCCTGCTTCAGCCTCCTGAGTAGCTGGGACTACAGGTGCACGCCACCACACCTGGCTAATTTTTGTATTTTTAGTAGAGATGGAGTTTCGCCATGTTGGCCAGGCTGGTCTTGAACTCCTGACCTCAGGTCATCCGCCCACCTCGGCCTCTCAAAGTGCTGTGATTACAGGCGTGAGCCACTGCACCTGGCCAACTTCAGTATTTCTTTGATAGCTTTCAAGCCCCCAAAAATGTTCCAGCCCAGCCCATGTTGTACATTTTATGTCTCATACCTAGAATTAGTAATTTTTTTCAAGGAGCCTCATTCTTTTTGGGGGCTATTTATCAACAGTCTGTAGGGGAAGTGCTGTTACTTAGTTATCAATGCTGTTAGGCATTCTCAGTAGACAGAACTGCTAACAGGTAAATTTTTAGCAAGAGAAAAATAAATCATGAGTTTATACTGAGATTTACAACTCAAATAGAAGGAATTGTTTTCACTTAACTTTTTTGATTACCTTTTGATTGTTGGTGGAAATTTTTAGCTCAAAATACAATATGTGTTTCCCAGCTGTTTGTAAATAATAAAAAATAGGGCTGTTAACATGTCATTTCATTATTAGAAGTGCAATTTAATGCAGAATAATGAAAATCAGAAGTTATTACTATATTAAGGGTAGGCTCTAAAAATTTACTTAAATGAGCTCTAAATATAGTTTAAACAGTTTTTTAAACTGTGTTAAACTTTAAACATAGTTTAAAAATGTTTAGGTCTTATATATTCACTAGATTTGAGCACACTTATTAATGTTAGTGTGAAGAAACAGTTATGTTTTTGAGCATCACTTTGTTGTTGTCACGTGGCAATTCTCTGGACTAGAGTTTCAGTTTTATTGGTTTTTTCTTTTTTTAGTAAACCTAATTTAAAGAAATTCTTGCCCAATATATCTAGATTTTAGACCTATTTATGCAAATGGTTGGATTTAAATAAATTCTGTTGTTTTAATACTTCATTTTAGGTCTTGGCTATTAGAACAATTCATGAGAAGTTTCTCTATTTTCTACCTGCCAGTGAAGAGAAAATCATATGCCTCACTCGAGTATTTGAACCTTTTACTGGCCTGAATCCTGTGCAATATAATCCATATACTGAGGTTGTATATATATTTGTTTATGTCTGTACAGTTTCCTGTTTATGTTGTTCTTTTTAAAGACAGATTTAAAAAATACTAAAGTCTAACAATGTTGTTAATGTATGTAGCCCTTGTGGAAAGCTGCGGTGTCTCAATATGAAAAGATTATTGCACCTGCGGAACAAAAAATAGCAGGAAAATTGAAAAATTATATTTCAGAAATTCAAGACAGTCCACAGCAGGTAAAACATTGAGATATTTCACTTTTAATATTTCTCTTAAGCTAATATATATATAAAAATATATATATATTTACTGAGTTGATCCGTTGGGATGAACATGTACTTATTTTATTTTATATTAGCTTCTTCAAGCATTCCTGAAATATAAAGAGTTGGTAAAGCGTCCAACTATAAGCAAAGAATTGATGTTAGAAAGAGAAACTTTACTGGCAAGACTTGTGGACTCAATTAAAGGTAAAAGTTTATGAGATTATAGTGTTTGCTTGAGAGAATATTTTTGTATATTACTTTTTTCTTCGTTGCATACCATTTAGGATTAAAGATACATTTTTCTGACATTTTCATGCTGAAGATTAATTTACTTATTCTGTTATAAATGACAGATTTTTTTGCATTAACAAGTTATTATAATTCGCTGTTTCATTTGATACATGGTACAGTCCTTGGGGATAAGGACCAACTCATTATTTTTCTTTCTACAGCATCTGACATAGTGCTTGGTACGTGGAAGTTATTTAGGAAATCTTTGCTAATTCTTTGTAATCATTTATTTGATTTAAATTTTATAGATTTTCGATTAGACTTTGAGAATCGGTGCCGAGGAATTCCTGGTGATGCATCTGGACCACTTTCTGGCAAAAATCTTTCAGAAGTTGTCAACAGTATAGTTTGGGTTCGCCAGTTGGAATTGAAGGTATTTATTTTAATAAAAGATGAAGAGTACTAATTATAAAATCTGCTAAATTAAGGCATGTAGAAGGTACTCTAGAGCTGTAGTAAATATATTCTCTGTTTTCCTTGGCATGTCTGTCTAATTTTCATACAAAATGCAGAACACTGAAAAAGTATGCAGAGGAGTCGTAATGGTTCTATTCCTTCTTTCTGTAGAGATAATGCATCATTTATTCCAATTGCAGTTGTTCCAAAGAAATACCTGTATTCAGGAGGAAAACATCCTTTATGCTGAGTAAAAAAAAGAAAAATTATTGTTTACAAAAATGAGCTGGACATGGTGCTGCACATCTGTAGTCCCAGCTACTCAGGAGGCTGAGGTGGGAGGATCACCTGAACCTGGGATATTGAGGCTGCAGTGAGCCATAATTGTGCCACAGTGCTCCATGGTGGACGACAGAAAGAGATGCTATCTCAAAAAAAAAATATTGTAAAATTTTAGTAGTTGCAAAGTCTTACCTGCAAGTATGTTTATGTAACTAAATCACTTTAGGTTGGAAGGAAGTTAAAGGAAAGGTAAAAGGTAATTATGGCATGGTCTAAGGTAGTGAGAACAATTTATAGATGTAAACGACTATTATTTTAATATTATTAAAATTGACCTAAGACTCTTATGGACTTACTAACTGGTATGTGGTTCAGTGTCTTGCATTAGACTTGTACAATAAATGTTAATTGATTATAGTCTGTGAGTAAGAGCAAGACCTCATGGAATATTACAAAAGCCAGCATGTTCGACATTTCTGCTTATTCAGGTTTGTATTTTTGATGTTTTATTTTCTGATATATTCTGCCTAATGTTTCTGTCAGTCAGTTTTCCAGGGTGCTCTAATGTTCTCTGTACAGTTGTGGAGGAAAGGCATTTATGTCTCTTAATTGACATTCCCTTTGGCCTAATTACTATTTGTGCTTTTAATCGGAGCATGTTGCTAAGGGCCGAAATTATTACTGAACATGTTTAGCAGTAATGCTGAAGTTCTCAGAGTTTCCTCTGAAAATCACTGGGGCACAGATATTTTGAGGGCTGACTTTCCCTTTACCCTCCATTTTATTCTTGGAGTTATGCCTTGTATGGGTTATCCTCTTGCGTTTGCTCTTCTGCGGCTGTATAATTCAGAAGCAAAGTAGGGGTTGATATTTTTATATTCTTTGGTGAATCTTCCGTTTCACTGTTTATAGATGAAAGGTAAAATAATTTCTGAATCACAGATCAGAGAAGGGGACTCCTTACTTTATGCTAATTTTTTTGGAATTTAAATAATGCACATGTCTGTAATTTGGCTTTTTAAGGTAGATGATACTATCAAGATTGCAGAGGCTCTTTTATCTGACTTGCCAGGATTTCGATGTTTCCATCAAAGTGCCAAAGATCTCTTAGACCAGCTTAAACTATATGAACAGGAACAATTTGATGATTGGTCCAGGGATATTCAATCAGGTTTATCTGATTCCAGATCTGGTTTGTGGTAAGTATAGATATATTAAACTGTAAAATCCAAAACCATATGTTATTAATCCAAATACCCAGAGGGAATTAATTATCTTTTTCCTTTCTCCAAACTTGCTACTCCTCCTGTAATTTTTTTTTGTTGTTTGTTTTTGATCATCAACTTTTAATTCATTAAGGCTGGAAACTTTGATGATTTAGTTAACTGCTTCCCTCTTGTTTCTCTTGTCTGTTCCCCAGAATTATGGATTCCCATTTTAGGATTAGTCTTTCCCCATGTTTTTTTATTATTGGTATTTATATGTTTTTCTACCTGTTTACATTAATATTATATGCACACACACACATACACTTTAAACAATGTTGTGGTTTTGTAAAATTGTATTATTTTTAAACTCCTTGAGACAGAGTATTTCTTCATGGTGCCCCACGTAATATGGCTTTGGTAAATATTTATTGAGCTATATTGAATGTATTAATGAGTTAACCTTATTAATTCTAATGGGAATTTAAATCTGGAATTCTGGCTCTGGAGGAAAAATAGAGGAAACTGAACGGTGTTAGGGCATAGTGATTATAATTTTATGCCATTTAGCTCTTTTTCCTTCTACTTTGAGCCTAAAACATGAGAGATACTCCAGGCAAGAAAAACAAAAAACAAAAAAAACCAGTGCTTTAGTCAACTAATTTTGGAAAATTTGCATACTTTATCATTAGAGCTTCAGTGGAGGTTCACTAGCATGGTAGCATACCAACGGTCTGAGATCTGCTGTTAGTAAGTTTGTTTAACTTTGTTCCTTCCACACAGCGTTTCTCATTAGGCTTTGAAACCCCCTCCTCCTGCCCTTTTTTTTTTTAGACCCATTTTTTGTCCCATAGAATCATCAGTGTGTTTTTGGACATATTTTGGGAAATGCTGGTATATACAAACTAAATTTGAAGATCAATCCTGAATAAAGGCAAAAAGAGTCACCATAATAGTTTACTGACATGATTTATTTGTATATAGGAAAATTTGGGCTAAATCATCATTTTAAGCCATTTTAAAGTGTTCTACTTTTTATTATATTTTGTTTTATATGCTATTAAATAAGCTGAATACTTTTGTTCTTTGCTTTTCAGTAAGTTACCTTCTAATACCTGCAATTTTTCTTAATTGTGAGGGTGATTTGAAATAATGAGGCTGGGTGTGGTGGCTTATGCCTGTAATCCCAGTACTTTGGGAGGCCAAGGTGGGAGAGGATCACTTGAACCCAGGAGTTTGAGACCAGCCTGAGCAACATGGCGAAATCCTGTCTCTACAAAAGACAAAAAAATTAGCCGAACATGGTGGCTTGCCTGTTGTCCCAGTTACTCAGGAGACTGAGATGGGAGGAATCCTTGAGCTCAGGGAGGTCAAGGCTGTAGTGAGCCATGATCGCTGTACTGCACTCCAGCCTGGGTGTTGGAGCAATACCCTGTCTCAAAAAAAAAAAAAAAAAAAAAAAGCAGCATTATATAAACCTAATCCTAAAGGAAGGTGATGAAAGCATAATACCTGTTGCTGAATTTAGTTCAAGCATTTTTACAATCCATTCTGATTTGAGTTCCCCAAAGTAATATTTGCTATTATAGCCTTTACAAGAAACACAAAAAAGGACAATTATTAGGTAGTGAAACAAAGGGTAGAAGAATGAAACGTTTTAATATCTCTACTCCTACCATTTTGATATTCCTTATTATTGATGTTTTAATAAAAGTACTAAAGAAGCAAGTACACTGATTTTTTTAAAAATCAAAGATACCTTTAGAAAATGAATCAAAATTTTTTCTTTATGGTGGATGTGATGTCAATTTTGAGTTTTAGCTGAAAGTTAAGAGATTGATTTTTCTTACTTTAAAACTGCTTGGTTGAAATATTAATGTGATGATCTATTTTGGATATTGCAGTTTGTTTCCAAAATCTGAATTGTGAAATAATATATGGAAAAAACCCACAACTTAAAAGCTATAATTAAAAAGTTTTTTTTTACTTTGAGCTAATATTAGATGTACAGAAAAGTTGTAAAAACCTATTGTGTTTATTAGTCAAAACAGTGAGAACATGAAACTTAACAGGTTATTTATTTTGTTTTATAGTATTGAGGCTAGTAGTCGAATTATGGAATTGGATTCTAATGATGGATTACTAAAAGTGCATTATTCAGATCGTTTGGTGATTCTTCTGAGAGAAGTTCGTCAGCTCTCTGCACTTGGCTTTGTTATTCCTGCCAAAATACAGCAAGTTGCAAACATTGCACAGAAATTCTGCAAGCAAGCAATTATTCTTAAACAAGTATGAAATTACATTTTTTGAATACCTGCCTATTTGGAGTTCATTACGTTAAACTAGAATATGCTAAAGGCTTTTTTTTTTTTTTTTTTTAGGCTCATAGAATAGCACTGCCAGCTGTGAAATTATGTTTTACTAAATGAGTCCATTACAAAATTTGCTTTGTAACCTATAAGGAATTTATTAAATTATTATTGTTTATTGCTTTTCACTCTAAAAAGCATTTAGAAAATAGTATGTTATTCTTCCTTCTTTTGTTTCATGTTACTTGCATGGGTTTTAAAGGGCCTTCTAATTAAGGAGTCCTCTGCCTGCCTTCTAGGAGCAGAGTCATAAAGAATTATCAGGTTGATGAATGGTTTCTGTTTCTAGTCATTTTCTCAGTCTACCTATGGGCACATTGCCATCATTTCACTTGTCTAAAAATCAACTATTATCAGCTCACAGTCTAGCTCCATAACATGGCATACAAGGCCCTTCTTAATCATGACCCAACTAAACTGACTGGTTTTGGCCTTTACTACTTATGTACTTCCCTGTCACACTGTACCCTATGCTTCAGTAATATAAAACTTTGCTTTCATCTGAACATGTCTCCATGCATTGAAATCTGTTCTCTGATTGGAAAACTCAGTGTGATTGTTTAATTTCCAATTCACAAGTCACTTTCTCTGTTGTGTCTTTCTTTAGTTGATTTTTATTCTTTGGGCAGTGTGAAAATCACTGTTATAATACTGCTCATATTGTGTCTTGATTTTTTTCGTTTTTTCTTTGACTTGATTATTATATTTTAGATGGCAGGAACAGTATCTTGTATATTTGGTCTTTCATTTATTCTTTTATTCAACAAGGATTCATTGAATATCTACCCTGTCAGGCATAGCATAGGATATAAAAATGAATACAGTACTATCATAGTCAGGCACAGAATTTCTTAGCCTCTTTACTTTTGATAGTTTGGATCAATTCTTTTTTTAGGGGGCTGTGCTTTGCTTTGTATGCTTTTTATTGGCATTCCTGTCCTGCACCTAGTATATCCAGTAGCATCTGCTTAGCACTGCCAATCAAAAATATCTCTAGATATTGCCAAATGTTCCCTGAGGTATACTCTGCTTTGGTTGAGAATCACTGGTCTAGTGGGAGAGAGTAAACTAAACATTGAGTGCTCATTAAATATCAGGCCTTGTGGTAGATGCTTTCGTTATGTTATTTTTAATTAATTCCCCATTGTACCACTGATCTAACTGAGGATCAGATGTTTAACAAAGTTTTCCCAGTTTCACATAGATAGTAAGTTATGAAGCTGGGATTTGATATCAAGTTTCTCTGACTCTAGAACTCATATTTTTTTTTTTTTTTTTTGAGACGGAGTCTCGCTCTGTTGCCCAGGCTGGAGTGCAGTGGTGCCATCTCAGCTCACTGCAAGCTCCGCCTCCCGGGTTCATGCCATTCTCCTGCCTCAGCCTCCCGAGTAGCTGGGACTATAGGGGCCCGCCACCAAGCACAGCTAATATTTTTTGTACTTTTAGTAGAGATAGAGTTTCACCATGTTAGCCAGGATGGTCTCAATCTCCTGACCTTGTGATCCGCCTACCTTGGCCTCCCAAAGTGCTGGGATTACAGGCGTGAGCCACCGCAGCCGGCCTATTTGTTTCATTTCAAAATAGTGAACAAGTAGATCAATATTTAATGTATTATAAGTACTATATTACAGATGTTCAGGAAGTCTTGTGAAAGCATAGAGGTAGGAAGTTTCAATTCTTTTCCTAGGTAGGGATAGAAGTAGTAGCAGGTAAGTCTTTTCAGAGGAATGATTGATGTGAGTCTGGAAGAGTGTACATATGTTTTTCTCAAGTACACAGAGGGTTGGGTGATCATTTCAGTCAGAGCGACTACTTAAAAGCAGAGAGGCTTGCTTACTTTAATATGGTAAGTATTTAGTCTGACACAATAGGAGCTCAAAAAATGAATGGTCATAGGTATTTGTATTTACCCTGGAAGAACAACTGGGAAAATCTATTTATATATGCCTTTATTTCTGAGCAGAATTTAGCTGGAATAGGGTGTATAAAGCAGAATGTTGGATAGATAGCAGTATGGCTAGATTGTAACAGAATATATACTATTGTATTGCTTCTGGTTTTCTTGATTGTACTTTTTCTGGGCCTATTTTTGTGGTACAGAATAAGTAGAGTGGGTTTTCCCCACCAAATAAAGTATATTTTTACATGTATTAGTGGAAAGAAGAAGATCTCTATAAAATTAGTTAAGAAATATTTTTAAAGCATCTACTATGTGCCAAGAATTTTGTGAGGTGCTGGAGACACAAAAATTAAGTTTCCTTAAATGCCTTAGACTCAGCCCAGGGTGTCCACTTGATCTTATTCCCTGAACCGCTCCTTTTTCCACCAACACAGTTAAGAGTGTCCTCCTTTGTCCAACACTGTTCCTTGTAGGATCTGTATTTATTAATTAATTCAACAAGCATTTATTGAGTCCTTGCTGTTTGCTTGGCTCTGTTCTTAGAGCTGTCATTCCAGTTGGAGAGACAGATAACAAACACATAAATATATAATGCAGTGTTAGGCAGTGATAGTGATAAATGCCTTGAAGAAGAATAAAACAGAATAAAGATATTGTGACAAAGACTGCTATTTCATACTGACCGGTCAGGTTAGGTATGCCTTGATGAAGAGGTAACATTTGAGAAGAGACATGACATAAAGTAGGCAAAAGAACCATGCAAATGTCTAGAGGAAGACTATTCCAGGGAGAGGGAATGGCAGATGCAGAATTCTAGAAGGAAGCCTCACTTGTTAGGTGAGAATAATAGTAAAAAGGCAAGTTTGGCTCATTCTTTAGTATATTGGGAGACAATTTGAAAGTTTTTAGGTAATAGTTTTGGGATTTTTGGGTTTTATTCTCAGGTGTATTGGGAAGTCATTAGGTTTTGTGTAGGCAAGAGGTGTGATATATGTTTAAAGAAGGCCACTCTGGCTGCTTTGAATAGATTATAGGAGGCCATGATTGGAAGCAGAGAGACCAGTTAGGAAATCTGTTGCACTGGCCTTGCCAAGAGAGGAGAGTGTATGGATTGGGATGCAATTGATGGGGGTTGGGGAAAGTGGTTGGATTCAAGATATATTTTGAGAGTATAGGCAATAGACTTTTGCTGATGTGGAATATGAGAGAAGCATTAAGGATATCTCAAAGAATTTTTGGTCTGAGACATGAATAAATTATTGTAGCATATACTGAAAAAAGAAGGAGCAGATTTGGAGAAGTGCAGGAATTAAGAATTTAGTTTTTTAGCATTTAACATGCTTCAGTGAGTTCCTTCTTTCCTATGAGATTGTGAACTTCTTGATTCCGGACAACGTTTTCTAGTCTATGTTTAATCAGACCTCAGGACATGACTTGGCAAATTGTAGGAACTCAACACTTACTTGTTGATTGTGTGTATTAATACATGAACAAATGCCCTATTGGAGATGAAAAACCAATTTTCTGTTTAAATTTTAGGATTGAGAAAAGTTAACATTTTCATTCAAACAATTAAAAATAAAAAATTAAAAATGAAGTTATTAATTATTACTAATTGGACTTTTACTTTGTAGGTGGCACATTTTTATAATTCTATTGATCAACAAATGATTCAAAGTCAGAGGCCAATGATGTTACAATCTGCCTTAGCATTTGAACAGATAATTAAGGTAAATGGGCTTTTAATTTTATTATAATTAGATTTTACATGTGAAGTGTTTAATTCTTAATTTTCCGGTGTTCCCTTCAGCTTAATATATCAAATGATCTAGATTTTGTTTTGCTTCCAGGGACTTCCTTCAATCTTAGCAAGTAAAATTATTTTTTCTAACTGTAGGTTTAAGTGGTTAGAATATTTCATATATTTTGGTACTGATTTCGATCAATTGCATTGATATAGATAGAAAATGATTTGTATGATGTTATGTTCATTTATCCTCTGAAGTTTGAGGTCCTTATACACAAGCTTCCTTAGACCTTTCCCACCACCTCCCAATTTTGTAATGTAATATTTTTTTCCTTTTTATTTGTGGTTATTTAAATGTCTGTATATAAGAAATTAGGAGGCTGGGTGCAGTGGCTTACGCCTGTCATCCCAGCACTTTCGAGGCCGAGGCGGGTGGATCACCTGACATCAGGGGTTTGAGACCAGCCTGGCCAACATGGTGAAACCCCATCTCAACTAAAAATACAAAAAAATTAGCCAGGCATGGTGGTGGGTGCCTGTAATCCCAGCTACTCGGGAGGCTGATGCAGGAGAATCACTTGAACCCAGGAGGTGGAGGTTGCAGTGGGTCGAGATCGTGCCACTGCACTCTAGCCTGGGAGACAGAGCGACTCCATCTCAAAAAAAAAGAAAAAAAAGAAAGAAAAAGAAATTAGGAAAACCCATAATAGCGTTTAAACTGAATGTTACTATGTGACTACTAACTTTTTGAAGTCTGTATTTTTAGTCTTCATAGACATGAAATGTTTGACAAAAATAAGCAGAAGAGGTATATACCATTTTATTTTTTTCTATTTGAAAGTGGATAACTAGTTGTGTCAGGATCCTCAGGACCACCCCAGATTCTTTGATTTGCTCAGAGGATCCACAGTACTCAGTGTATGGTCATACTCATAGCAGTATTTATTACGGTGAATGCATACAAAGCAAAATCAGCAAAGGGAAAGGTGCATGATGGGGTGAAGTCCCAAGAAAACAGGTACGAACTTCTAAGAGTCTTCTCCCAGTGGAATCACAGAGGGTGTACTTATTTTTTGCAGCAACAAATTGTAACACGTGAAATTTCGTGTTACTGGAGAAGATCATTAGAGACTCAAAACCTAGGTTTTTATCGGGGATGGCCACGTAGACACTTTCTGCCTAGTATGCACTGAAATTCCAAACTCCCAGAAGGAAAGCAAATATTCAGCATAAACCAAATTATTTAGGTACAGTGAGCCACTCTTATCAGAGTGGTAGGAACTCTTCTGAAATCTAAGTTCCCAAATGCCAACTAAGGGACATCTTTTAAGCAGGTCTTTTGAAGGATGGTAGTCAGACCTGCTATGTTAACTCTTTTCTGCACACTAGTTCTCAAGCTTGATAATTCTAGAAGTTACATCATTCATATTATAGATGTTATTAAAAGCACTTTTTTTCTTGTTGGCAGAGATTAACATGAGTTTATAATGCAAAGTTTAAAAACAGGTAAACAAAAAGAGATGTCGTATAATCATGCCATGAAGAAATGACCATTTTAAGAAGTCTGGTGTACATCCTTTCAAATATTTTTCTATGCAAATTTTTGAAAATGTATGCATATTTTAAAAAATGTATGCATAGTTTTGGAAATGGAATCACCCTTTATTATTTTTGACCTTTTCCCTCTAAAGTATAGATCATTTTAGCTGCAAGTCCTTACAACTTTTTCTTCCCTAATAAATTTGTTTAAAATAAAGTCTGTTGATATTTCTGAGGAGGAAACTTATTTTGTAAAATTGTGTTGTGAGAAGTAAATATATTTAACAAGTTAAAGGAGACATAGTAGTGGTTATAAAACTAGCATAGGTGTAGAGAGAACATAAGGTTCTGTATGATGCTCTACTCACTATATTGTAGAAAATCAGACTGTAATTTATTTATTTTCATATTCTCAAGCAATAGAACAGTAAGTGATATATAGTAATTATTCAGTAAACAATTTTTAATTCATCAGCTATTTATTGAGCATCTCCTATATTCCAGAGACTTACTATGCCTTCATTGTCCCCTTCAAGTGAAGTATAGAAACTTTTCTTCTATTTAGGTTTCTTCAGTCTCTCTACTTCCATATATTAGTCTTAAATATTTTCCCTATATACATTGAAACCACTTCAGATGGTGTTATAATTTTTCCCCTAATCATCAAATATGATTTAAAGAACTCATGACAAAAAGGATAGTTTACTATATAGTTATATTTTTTACTTATCCCAATATTCTTTTTTTTTTGAGATGGAGTCTAGCTCTGTCGCCCAGGCTGGAGTGCAGTGTCGCAATCTCGGCTCACTGCAAGCTCTCCCGGGTTCACCCATTCTCCTGCCTCAGCCTCAGAGTAGCTGGCACTACAGGTGCCCACCACCATGCCCAGCTAATTTTTTTGTATTTTTTAGTAGAGATGGGGTTTCACCGTGTTAGCCAGGATGGTCTCCCCAGTATTCTTTTTTTTCCCTGAAGTTCTATGCTTCTTTGGATATTTTTTTTTCTTCTTTAAAGAAATAACTTCCTTTAGCCATGGTTTAAGATTAGGTGTGCTGGTGACAAATTTGCTTATCTTTCCTTTGTCTGATAATGTTTTCTTGTTTTCCTTTTCCCTCATTCCTGAAGGATATTTTAAATAGATATGAAATGCATATTTGACATTTTTTTTTTAGCACTTTAAACATTTTCCATGTCCTGCTGGCATCCATGATTTCAGCTGACAAACTACTGTCATTTGAATTTGTGTTCCTTTCTGAATAATGTATTGTATCTCTTTGGCTCCATTCAAGATTTCAAAGAATCTTTGTCTTTAGTTTTCAGAAGTTTAATTATTGTCTAGGAAAGCATAGAATCCTTTTTTAACTTTATCCTATTTGGGGTTTACTCAGCTTCTTGAATCTGTAGGTTTATGTCTTTTGCCACATTTGTTAAGTTTTCAGTTACTGTTTTTTGAATTTATTGTTTTTCTCAGTTTTTCTCTCTTCTTCCTTTTAGGAAGCATGTATATATGTATACACATATAATGCTTAGGAAGCATGTATGTATATATATACAAAATCCTTGGAAGCTAATATATATATATTAACTCTTTTGTCTCAAGGGCCTCTGTTCATTTTTCCCTTTATTTTCTCTTTGTTGTTCAAATTACATAAACTCTCTTGATTTTTTCTCAAATGTACTCATTGCATCCTCTGACATCTCCACTCTGCTATTGAGTCCATCCAGCCAGTTTTACATTTCTGTTACTGTATTTTTCAGTTCTATATATTCCACCTCATTTTTTTTATAATTCTATTTTTTCTTGAGATTTTCTGTTTTTCACTAGTTTCAAGAGAATTTGTAACTGCCTGTTGAAGCATTTTTATGATGGCTGCCTTAAAATCCTTGTCAGATAATTCTTATGTCAGATTCATTTCAGTGTTCACATCTGTTACCTTTTCTCATTCAAGTTGTGATTTTTTTTAGCTCTTGGTATCACAGGTGATTTTCCCTTATATTCTGGTCATTTTGGATATTATATTATGATGCACTGTATAATATTTAATTTTTATATTTTAGAAAACAGTCTCTTTGCTGAGAGGGTTGGGGGTGTGTGTGTGTGTGTGTGTGTGTGTGATGAGTTTCCTGCTGGGCCCTACAGTACCAAAGTGGAGCATTTGTACACTGATTCATTGCAGATGACTGGAATGGAAGTTTAGTGCTCCATTTTACTTTACTGATACCTTGTTGTGAAAGTGAGGCACCAACTTGGAGGCACCTTGTTGCCTCCAAGCTGGGGTGTAAGCTCAGCTTCCTACTGGGCCCTGTTGACTCCTCCCTGTTAGGGAGGAGGAGTAGAGGAGTGGAGGGCAGATTCACACCACTGTGAGTGGGGTGGGAGCTCAGCTCCTTGTTGAGCCTCATGAATATTACCTTGTCAGGGGGATTGGAACACTGCATGCTTTTGCCAAGTAGGTGATGGAAGATCAGCTTTTTACTTAGTCCCACTGAAACATTAGAAAGGGGTGATTTTCTCCTTGGTGTTAAGCTACAATAGGATGTGTATTGCTAAAAATGTTTTCTCTTGTTAGGCTGCTGTTTTCCTAGCCCTTTATAGGAGGTTTTTGAGTCTGTGCCTGTCAGTGGTTCCAGATTGGAATCTTCTCTAGCGCCCTGTCCTGGATGTATAGGAGATAATAAGGAAACCCAGGTTTGTCGTGCCTTAATTCCTCAGGTTTCTAGGCTGTCTGCCTTCTTCATTCTTCCTTTCCGTCACCTTATGCTTGTTTGTTGTGTTATGTCTAGGGCTTTTTAGTTGTAAAAGGGAGAAGCTGGAAGAAATGGGCTACTCAATCTTTGCCAGACTGCCTTATCATTTATAAAATGGAAAATTATTATGTGCTTTCTTTGTTGCAGGTCAGAGTTGGGGATAGTTGAACTTTTGATATAGAATATTGAAACTTTTGGAAAAAAGAAATACTTATACATACTAAAGGTTATTTATTGTACCATAGAATTCAAAAGCAGGAAGTGGAGGGAAATCACAGATAACTTGGGATAATCCTAAAGAATTAGAAGGCTATATCCAAAAACTCCAAAATGCTGCTGAACGGCTTGCCACTGAAAATAGAAAACTGAGAAAATGGCACACTACATTTTGTGAAAAGGTATATTTTGTTTATAAAATTGAATAAGCTATGAATGATATTATTTAAAAAGTCATTAAGATACAATTTTTAAAAACTTATTTTGAAATAATTTGAGACTTAAAGTTACAAAAATAGTACAGAGAAATCACAATTCCCATTTGCCCAAATTCCCTGTTGTTAACAACTTATATAACCGGAGTAGTTATCAAAACCAGGAAAAAGACTGTTTTGAATTTTACAATTTTCCACTAACATTCTTTTTTTTTTCCAGGATACAATCTAGAATCCAACTCTGCCCTTAGTTGTTGAGTCTCTTTAGCCTCCCCTCCTCAGTCTTTTCCTTGTTTTTCATGACTTTGATGAGTACTGATCAGTTATTTTGTAGAATCTCTCTTGATTTGGGTTTATATGATGTTTTCCCATATTAGATTGGGGCTATCTTATTTTGGCAGGAATAGCACAGAAGTGATGTTTTGCCCTTCTCAGTACATTGGTCAAGTATTGATATGTCTTGTATAGATTAAGTTAAACTTGATCACTTGGTTAAGGTGGTATCTGTCAGGTTTCTCCACTGAAAAGTTACTATTTTTCCAGCAATACTTTGAGACTAGCATGCTCTAATTTTTCATAGGTGGTTGTTCTTATGAATATTGATCTGCTTCGGCAGCAACAGCGCTGGAAAGATGGATTACAAGAATTGAGAACTGGCTTAGCAACTGTAGAAGCACAGGTAGAGTATGTTTTATTTTGTGTGTATACTTTGAAATATGACCTTTTCAGAATGTAAGTACAATATATGAATTGCCGAGAAGTTCATAAAAGTTATCTTTAAATCTTACTAATAAATACCTAATATATTTATAATTTTTGACTGAATTATATATAAAGACCACATATGAACAATCAATTTACATTTAAAAATATAAAAATAAGTTCCTGTAGTGTCTTATGGAATGCCAAATTCCTCAATTCAGAATTTGTAGGTTTTTGTCTTGGTATTTAAATATCTATCACTTATTAGTTCTCTTCTAGGTGATCGTGATAGCCGTAAAAAACAAAGTTAAGTTTAGGTAGAATCCTAATGATTGGAATAATTTTATTCCAGATTTTTTTCCTTTTTGGAGGTAAAATTTGAGTTCTATTCATATTTTGATATAATAGTTGATGCATATAAAGGTGGCTAGCACAAAGCCTGCTACATAGTAGATGGTAATGAAATCTTAGCAGAATATGAGTTAGATGTCTCACACATTTACATATATTTAATATTTTTCAGTTTTTATAACTTCAAGAAAAGGCAAAAGTACTACTAGAATGGATATATTTATGGTTGTATAGAAGCAAAAAAGTATGTAAATTCTTATGAGCAATCTAATATTTTAAATCTCATATGTTTTAAAATACGTAGTAGATTTACATTATGTAAGAAGTGGGAAGGGAAGAGAAGAGCTATACTTGATGGGAATTTTTGAAAAAGGACCAAGAAGTTCACAAAATAAACCAGTATTTGTGGTACTACATCATAAAATAAAGTCCAAATATGAAAGTCATTTAATATTTGCTTGGTTTTTAAATTTTGCTGATCTTTTAAAATAGTATTTATAAGTATGAAGATTAGATTTTCATATTTGTCTCTAAATAAACTTATACGGAGAGTAACAAGGATGTACCAGTTTTACATATTTGAAATGAGTTGGTTTTATTTTTGTGATTATAATTGTGCATTATGTGACATGAAAGTATTAAATGAAAAATCCATTCTACTGCCTAATTTTTAAATTAAAAATGTGAATGTAACATATTAGGGATTCCAAGCAAGTGACATGCATGCATGGAAACAACACTGGAATCATCAACTGTACAAAGCTCTGGAGCATCAGTACCAGATGGGCTTAGAAGCACTTAATGAGAATTTGCCAGAAATAAATATAGACTTAACTTACAAGTAAGATGTTTTTTCAACCCCAATTTAATGTTCATTGTATAATTTTCTAACAATTTATGTTTTAAAGTTATTTATTTACTTTTAGACAGGGACGATTACAATTCAGGCCCCCTTTTGAAGAAATCCGGGCTAAATATTATAGAGAAATGAAGAGATTCATCGGCATTCCAAATCAGTTTAAGGGAGTGGGTGAGGCAGGAGATGAATCTATTTTTTCTATTATGATTGATAGAAATGCAAGTGGATTTTTGACGATTTTCAGCAAAGCAGAAGATCTGTTTAGAAGATTGTCAGCTGTTTTACACCAACATAAGGTATAGAACATGTAATGTTCCATCCTTCCATCATAAAATTATTTCTGATTGATTGAATTTACATTAAATGTATACATTAATAGTTTACCTTGTGTGGCATAACATTAAAATATGGCAAAGCAGAGAGCTGGATTCGTAGATACTTATACAACCTAGATTTATACTTCAGAAGAGAAAAAAGTTATGGGAAAGATTTTTTTTTTGTCTTTGATTATTTTGTGACAATTGAGAAACTTGTTTTTTTTGGTTTTTTATTTTTATTTTTTATTTTTTATTTTATTTATTTTATTATTATTATACTTTAATTTTTAGGGTACATGTGCACAATGTGCAGGTTACATATGTATACATGTGCCATGCTGGTGTGCTGCACCCATTAACTCGTCATTTACCATTAGGTATATCTCCTAATACTATCCCTCCCCCCTCCCGCCACCCGACAACAGTCCCCAGAGTGTGATGTTCCTTTTCCTGTGTCCATGTGCTCTCATTGTTCAATTCCCACCTATGAGTGAGAACATGCGGTGTTTGGTTTTTTGTTCTTGCGATAGTTTACTGAGAATAATGATTTCCAATTTCATCCATGTCCCTACAAAAGACATGAACTCATCATTTTTTATGGCTGCATAGTATTCCATGGTGTATATGTGCCACATTTTCTTAATCAAGTCTATCATTGTTGGACATTTGGATTGGTTCCAAGTCTTTGCTATTGTGAATAGTGCCACAATAAACATACGTGTGCATGTGTCTTTATAGCAGCATGATTTATAGTCCTTTGGGTATATACCCAGTAATGGGATGGCTGGGTCAAATGGTATTTCTAGTTCTAGATCCCTGAGGAATAGCCACACTGACTTCCACAGTGGTTGAACTAGTTTACAGTCCCACCAACAGTGTGAAAGTGTTCCTATTTCTCCACATCCTCTCCAGCACCTGTTGTTTCCTGACTTTTTAATGATTGCCATTCTAACTGGTGTGAGATGGTATCTCATTGTGGTTTTGATTTGCATTTCTCTGATGGCCGGTGATGGTGAGCATTTTTTCATGTGTTTTTTGGCTGCATAAATGTCTTCTTTTGAGAAGTGTCTGTTCATGTCCTTTGCCCACTTTTTGATGGGGTTGTTTGTTTTTTTCTTGTAAATTTGTTTGAGTTCATTGTAGATTCTGGATATTAGCCCTTTGTCAGATGAGTAGGTTGCAAAAATTTTCTCCCATTTTGTAGGTTGCCTGTTCACTCTGATGGTAGTTTCTTTTGCTGTGCAGAAGCTCTTTAGTTGAATTAGATCCCATTTGTCAATTTTGGCTTTTGTTGCCATTGCTTTTGGTGTTTTAGACATGAAGTCGTTGCCCATGCCTATGTCCTGAATGGTAATGCCTAGGTTTTCTTCTAGGGTTTTTATGGTTTTAGCTCTAACGTTTAAGTCTTTAATCCATCTTGAATTAATTTTTGTATAAGGTGTAAGGAAGGGATCCAGTTTCAGCTTTCTACATATGGTTAGCCAGTTTTCCCAGCACCATTTATTAAATAGGGAATCCTTTCCCCATTGCTTGTTTTTCTCAGGTTTGTCAAAGATCAGATAGTTGTAGATAAGTGGCCTTATTTCTGAGGGCTCTGTTCTGTTCCATTGATCTATATCTCTGTTTTGGTACCAGTACCATGTTGTTTTGGTTACTGTAGCCTTGTAGTATAGTTTGAAGTCAGGTAGCGTGATGCCTCCAGCTTTGTTCTTTTGGCTTAGGATTGACTTGGCAATGTGGGCTCTTTTTTGGTTCCATATGAACTTTAAAGTAGTTTTTTCCAATTCTGTGAAGAAAGTCACTGGTAGCTTGATGGGGATGGCATTGAATCTATAAATTACCTTGGGCAGTATGGCCATTTTCATGATGTTGATTCTTCCTACCCATGAGCATGGAATGTTCTTCCATTTCTTTGTATCCTCTTTTATTTCATTGAGCAGTGGTTTGTAGTTCTCCTTGAAGAGGTCCTTCACGTCCCTTGTAAGTTGGATTCCTAGGTATTTTATTCTCTTTGAAGCAGTTGTGAATGGGAGTTCACTCATGATTTGGCTCTCTGTTTGTCTGTTATTGGTGTATAAGAATGCTTGTGATTTTTGTACATTGATTTTGTATCCTGAGACTTTGCTGAAGTTGCTTATCAGCTTAAGGAGATTTTGGGCTGAGACAATGGGGTTTTCTAGATATCCAATCATGTCATCTGCAAACAGGGACAATTTGACTTCCTCTTTCCCTAATTGAATACCCTTTATTTACTTCTCCTGCCTAATTGCCCTGGCCAGAACTTCCAACACTATGTTGAATAGGAGTGGTGAGAGAGGGCATCCCTGTCTTGTGCCAGTTTTCAAAGGGAATGCTTCCAGTTTTTGCCCATTCAGTATGATATTGGCTGTGGGTTTGTCATAGATAGCTCTTATTATTTTGAGATACATCTCATCAAGAGTTTTTAGCATGAAGCATTGTTGAATTTTGTCAAAGGCCTTTTCTGTATCTATTGAGATAATCATGTGGTTTTTGTCTTTGGTTCTGTTTATATGCTGGATTACATTTATTGATTTGTGTATATTGAACTAGCCTTGCATCCCAGGGATGAAGCCCACTTGATCATGGTGGATAAGCTTTTTGATGTGCTCCTGGATTTGGTTTGCCAGTATTTTATTGAGGATTTTTACATCGATGTTCATCAAGGATATTGGTCTGAAATTCTCTTTTTTGGTTGTGTCTCTGCCCGGCTTTGGTGTCAGGATGACACTGGCCTCATAAAATGAGTTAGGGAGGATTCCCTCTTTTTCTATTGATTGGAATAGTTTCAGAAGGAATGGTACCAGTTCCTCCTTGTACCTCTGGTAGAATTCGGCTGTGACTCCATCTGGTCCTGGACTCTTTTTGGTTGGTAAGCTATTGATTATTGCCACAATTTCAGAGCCTGTTATTGGTCTATTCAGAGATTCAACTTCTTCCTGGTTTAGTCTTGGGAGGGTGTATGTGTCGAGGAATTTATCCATTTCTTCTAGATTTTCTAGTTTATTTGCGTAGAGGTGTTTGTAGTATTCTCTGATGGTAGTTTGTATTTCTGTGGGATCGGTGGTGATATCCCCTTTATCATTTTTTATTGCATCTATTTGATTCTTCTCTCTTTTTTTCTTTATTAGTCTTGCTAGCGGTCTATCAATTTTGTTGATCCTTTCAAAAAACCAGTTCCTGGATTCATTAATTTTTTGAATGGTTTTTTGTGTCTCTATTTCCTTCAGTTCTGCTCAGATTTTAGTTATTTCTTGCCTTCTGCTAGCTTTTGAATGTGTTTGCTCTTGCTTTTCTAGTTCTTTTAATTGTGATGTTAGGGTGTCAATTTTGGATCTTTCCTGCTTTCTCTTGTGGGCATTTAGTGCTATAAATTTCCCTGTACACACTGCTTTGAATGTGTCCCAGAGATTCTGGTATGTTGTGTCTTTGTTCTCGTTGGTTTCAAAGAACATCTTTATTTCTGCCTTCATTTCGTTATGTACCCCAGTAGTCATTCAGGAGCAGGTTGTTCAGTTTCCATGTAGTTGAGCGGTTTTGAGTGAGTTTCTTAATCCTGAGTTCTAGTTTGATTGCACTGTGGTCTGAGAGACAGTTTGTTATAATTTCTGTTCTTTTACATTTGCTGAGGAGAGCTTTACTTCCAACTATGTGGTCAATTTTGGAATAGGTGTGGTGTGGTGTTGAAAAAAATGTATATTCTGTTGATCTGGGGTGGAGAGTTCTGTAGATGTCTATTAGGTCCACTTGGTGCAGAGCTGAGTTCAATTCCTGGGTATCCTTGTTAACTTTCTGTCTCGTTGATCTGTCTAATGTTGACAGTGGGGTGTTAAAGTCTTCCATTATTATTGTGTGGGAGTCTAAGTCTCTTTGTAGGTCACTCAGGACTTGCTTTATGAATCTGGGTGCTCCTGTATTGAGTGCATATATATTTAGGATGGTTAGCTCTTCTTGTTGAATTGATCCATTTACCATCATGTAATGGCCTTCTTTGTCTCTTTTGATCTTTGTTGGTTTAAAGTCTGTTTTATCAGAGACTAGGATTGCAACCCCTGCCTTTTTTTGTTTTCCATTTGCTTGGTAGATCTTCCTCCATCCTTTTATTTTGAGCCTATGTTGTCTCTGCACGTGAGATGGGTTTCCTGAATACAGCACACTGATGGGTCTTGACTCTTTATCCAATTTGCCAGTCTGTGTCTTTTAATTGTGTCTTTAATATTCACATTTAAAGTTAATATTGTTATGTGTGAATTTGATCCTGTCATTGTGATGTTAGCTGGTTATTTTGCTCGTTAGTTGATGCAGTTTCTTCCTAGGCTCGATGGTCTTTACATTTTGGCATGATTTTGCAGCGGCTGGTACCAGTTGTTCCTTTCCATGTTGAGTGCTTCCTTCAGGAACTCTTTTAGGGCAGGCCTGGTGGTGACAAAATCTCTCAGCATTTGCTTGTCTGTAAAGTATTTTATTTCTCCTTCACTTATGAAGCTTAGTTTGGCTGGATATGAAATTCTGGGTTGAAACTTCTTTTCTTTAGAATGTTGAATATTGGCCCCCACTCTCTTCTGGCTTGTAGAGTTTCTGCTGAGAGATCCCCTGTTAGTCTGATGGGCTTCCCTTTGTGGGTAACCTGACCTTTCTCTCTGGCTGCCCTTTTTTCCTTCATTTCAACTTTGGTGAATCTGACAATTATGTGTCTTGGAGTTGCTCTTCTCGAGGAGTATCTTTGTGACATTCTCTGTATTTCCTGAATCTGAATGTTGGCCTGCCTTGCTAGATTGGGGAAGTTCTCCTGGATAATATCCTGCAGAATGTTTTCCAACTTGGTTCCATTCTCCCCGTCACTTTCAGGTACACCCATCAGACGTAGATTTGGTCTTTTCACATAGTCCCATGTTTCTTGGGGGCTTTGCTCATTTCTTTTTATTCTTTTTTTCTCTAAACTTCCCTTCTCGGTTCATTTCATTCATTTCATCTTCCATTGCTGGTACCCTTTCTTCCAGTTGATCGCATCGGCTCCTGAGGCTTCTGCATTCTTCACGTAGTTCTCGAGTCTTGGCTTTCAGCTCCATCAGCTCCTTTAAGCACTTCTCTGTACTGGTTATTCTAGTTATACATTCATCTAAATTTTTTTCAAAGTTTTTAACTTCTTTGCCTTTGGTTTGAATATCCTCCTGTAGCTCAGAGTAATTTGATCGTCTGAAGCCTTCTTCTCTCAACTCGTCAAAGTCATTCTCCGTCCAGCTTTGTTCCGTTACTGGTGAGGAACTGCATTCCTTTGGAGGAGGAGTGGCACTCTGCTTTTTAGAGTTTCCAGTTTTTCTGCTCTGTTTTTTTCCCCATGTGGTTTTATCTACTTTTGGTCTTCAATGATGGTGATGTACAGATGGGTTTTTGGTGTGGATGTCCTTTCTGTTTGTTAGTTTTCCTTCTACCAGACAGGACCCTCAACTGTAGGTCTGTTGGAGTTTGTTAGAGGTCCACTCCAGACCCTGTTTGCCTGGGTATCAGCAGCGGTGGCTACAGAACAGCAGATTTTCGTGAACCACGAATGCTGCTGTCTGATCCTTCCTCTGGAAGTTTTGTCTCAGAGGAGTACCCGGCCGTCTGAGGTGTCAGTCTGCCCCTACTGGGGGGTGCCTCCCAGTTAGGCTGCTCAGGGGTCAGGGGTCAGGGGTCAGGGACCCACTTGAGGAGGCAGTCTGCCCGTTCTCAGATCTCCAGCTGCATGCTGGGAGAACTATTGCTCTCTTCAAAGCTGTCAGTGACATTTAATTCTGCAGAGGTTACTGCTGTCTTTTTGTTGTCTGTGCCCTGCCCCCAGAGGTGGAGCCTACAGAGGCAGGCAGGCCTCCTTGAGCTGTGGTGGGCTCCACCCAGTTCGAGCTTCCCACCTGCTTTGTTTACCTAAGCAAGCCTGGGCAATGGCGGGTGCCCCTCCCACAGCCTCGCTGCCACCTTGCAGTTTGATCTCAGACTGCTGTGCTAGCAGTCAGCGAGACTCCATGGGCATAGGACCCTCCCAGCCATGTGCAGGATATAATCTCCTGGTGTGCCATTTTTGAGGCCCATTGGAAAAGTGTAGTATTAGGGTGGGATTGACCCGATTTTCCAGGTGCCGTCTGTCACCCCTTTCTTTGACTAGGAAAGGGAACTCCCTGACTCCTTGCACTTCGCGAGTGAGGCAATGCCTCGCCCTGCTTCGGCTCACGCACGATGCGCTGCACCCACTGTCCTGTGCCCACTGTCTGGCACTCCCTAGTGAGATGTACCTGGTACCTCAGATGGAAATGCAGAAATCACCTGTCTTCTGCGTCGCCCACGCTGGGAACTGTAGATGGGAGCTGTTCCTATTTGGCCATCTTCGCTTTTTATTTTTTAAAATAGTTGTGTCATCTTGGTGGGTTGGGCGTGGTGGCTCATGCCTGTAATCCTGGCACTTTGGGAGGCTGAGGCTAATGGATCATTTGAGGTCAGGAGTTTGAGACCAGCCTCGTCAACATGGCGAAACATCATCTTTATTAAAATACAAAAATTATCTGGGCATGGTGGTGGTCACCTGTAATCCCAATTACCATGGAGGCTGAAGTAGGAGAATCATTTAAACCAGGGAGATGGAGGTTTCAGTGAGCTTAGATCGCACCACTGTACTCCAGGCTGGGTGGCAGAGCGAGACTCCATGTCAAGAAAAAAAGAAAATGTGTCAGTTTAGAATGTGATATGGTTCTGTTGTGTCAATTTGAATTCTTCTTCTGAAGCCCTCAAATGTTACTGAAATCAGGGCTATTTAACAGCTTATTTCCGTTTAAGTATATCATCCCAACTAACTTTAAGTATAAACTAATTGTATTTCTCATTTGTATTGATGCTGAGACATATGACTGAAAATTTGACCAGTTTCTTAACTGCCACTGCAATACTTCTGTGTCTTAGATTTCTAGGATGAATCTGGACCCTTTCAGATTTGTAGCCTATAGTGACTCTTGATTTTGCAGAAATGATTCCACCTTTGAAGTTTTGTATTATTTAATTTGAGAAGAGAATCTAAACAGAGGGTTTATATAATTTTCTTTAAAAGTTTATGATCACTGCATTTGCATATTAAATCTCTTTTTTCTGTTTATTCTTTAGGCTGTGCAGTAATGATTATATTACTTAAATTGACACTTGAATACCTCATATTTTCCTCTTTTTATTGGTTTTAATAGTTGAATCCTATTCTATTATATGTTAACATATTGGTTCTGTGTCTTTAATAATACATTTTTTCTTTCTTTAAATAGGAATGGATTGTAATTGGGCAAGTTGATATGGAAGCTCTGGTGGAAAAGCATCTTTTTACTGTACATGATTGGGAGAAAAATTTTAAAGCATTAAAAATAAAGGGGAAAGAAGTAGAACGACTTCCAAGGTATTGGAGGTTAATGTAGTACTTACGTACCATAATAATTTTTTGACATGGACAGTAAGGGAGCTCTCTACTTAGTGGCATTGAAGTCACATCAGCTTCTTGCCTCCTCCAGATCTCATTTATGACACTTGAGTATCATCTAGGTAGGGCATTACAGATAATAAAACAAGTTTTCCTTCTAGAAGCTCTGCTGGCGGAGACCTATTTAGGTAAAATAGACTGAAGAAAGAGGCTTCTATCTTCATCTGGTATGAAGAGCTATGTTTGATATGCATTGGCACAATCTCAGTATGGTTAGAAGCTACTGGTGAGAGCATACTAGACAATATAAAGCTAGTGACATTTCACTCTGCTTTTGTACTGCTCTGCTTCCTTTCAAGATGTCCTGGAAGGCACACAACATAGTGCTGCATCTAGATATTGCCCTAAATGTGGACAAAAGCCTCTGAGGGGCAACTCAGCTACTTGAGAATATAGTCTCCTTGTATCTAAAATACTCACCACTAGAACCACTCTTAGTAATAAGTTCCATGAAAGGCCTTGTGTAATCATGCATATGTCACCTCTAAAGGATAATATCACTTTTATTAATTTATGTTTTCATTATTTCAATAAATACTTAGTGCACATTTATAAAATGCAAAACTTTGTGCTTTAGGAGTACAAAGAGGAAGAAGACAGAGGACCTAAGATGAATTGCTTATTCTCTGGTAGTGCAATAAGACAAATATATTTGATGATTAAGTCAAGTACACACAGGGGTTAAGTAAGTGGGCTCTGGAGTTAGGCAGCTGTTACCAGCTGTATGACTGACAGTCATTGAAATTGTGAACCTAAATTTCTTTAGCTTTAAAATATTAGCAACAATAGTTAGTAATCTCATAGTGTTTTGAGATAAGTAAGTGTTTCCATATAAGTAACTGGCACAGGTTATATTTTCAATAAATGTTAGTTACTTTTAATTGTGATTAGTATCAAGTGGAATAGTCTATATTCCATATTAAAACTGAACTAAAACTATGGGGATTCAGAGGATGATGACATCCCCTCTGTCTGGGGCAAAATCAAGGAAAATCTTTGTTAGGATAGTAACACTGGAACTAGGATTTTGACAGGTGCAAATGAAAATGGGAGGGCAAAAAAGAACCTCTTAGCAACAGGAATTGTGTGCTGAAAATATGAAGTTGGTTAATTGAAATTGTTATTAGAGTTAATGTTTTATTAGAGACTAGAGGGAGATGATCCTGGAAAGGTGTAGATAAGGTATAGATCTGGGAGTCTTACATTCAAAAATAGAGAATTTGGATTTTATTCATTTTGGGATGATTAGCTTTTAAAGGGTTCTAAACAGGAGTGTGTCAGTACCAAAGCTGTTCGTTAGGAAATTTAATCTGGAAACACAGATATACGGTGGGATAAAGAGATCCTGGAGGCATACTGGCTAGTCTGTCAGTCATCCAGAAGACCAGTAATAATAATGATAATTAGTTATTTTTTTTTTTTGAGACAGAGTCTTGCTGTGTCACCCAGGCTGGAGTGTAGTGGCATGATATATGCTCACTGCAACCTCCACCTCTTGGGTTTAAGTGATTCCCCTGCCTCAGCCTCCTGAGTAGCTGGGACTACAGGCACGTGCCACCACGCCTGGCTAATTTTTTGTATTTTTAGTAGAGGTGGGGTTTATTATGTTGGCCAGGCTGGTCTCCAACTCTTGACCTCAGGTGATCTGCCCACCTTGGCCTCCCAGAGTGCTGGGATTACAGGCATGAACCACCATGCCCGGCCATAATAATTAATTGAATTATCTTGTTGGAACTCAAAATGAGGAGGAGGAAATAGTATGAGGAATTAAGTTTTATTTATTGGAGGAAGATGAGGGATTAGGAATAGGAAGAGACAAATGACTTGAGGGTTTGAGCGTGGGTGATTTGGATACTGGTAGGACCATTAATATTAGTTTAAAGTAAGGAAAAGATAGTGCTTTTGTAGTGCTTGCACATGGGGTTTTTCTTCTCTGTTGGGCCTTGCCTTTGATCCCAATCTTGCCCATCTTCTTTGACTTAATGCTGTCACCTGACTGCCTAAGAACCTCTACTGCTTCCTCTACTATTTTTTTGTCCCTTACTATAGATAGCTTTCCTATTTATGATCCTTGCCAAAAGAAAAAAAAATAAAAACAACAATGCCTATCCCACACTGTATTTTTCATTTTGTCATTTCTTGCTAACAAATTAACATGTATTCATCTAAGTGAATACATACATATGCACATACAAACATACACATTTATTTCATCGGTACTTTTTGGAAATGCTGTAAGATTAGAAAAGCTATGTTCTAGTGATGTATTTTAGATAGTATCATAAGAAAATCATTTTTGAATATGCATCTTTGATATATAATGAGTCATCTTCCATTTCTATCTATGGCTGAACAGAATCTCAGTTTCATATTGTGAATATTTTCAAATGAAAGATGAATGTTAGCCTTGTCCACAGCACTCCGTAGTTAGTGAGTAAAACTTCTTTGCTGTAATTAGATCACTTTATGTTAATTCATTAGCAAAATACAGTATAATATAACCTTTTAGGTTTACCAAAATCACATATCTTCATGTATCAAGTATCATAAATCATGAGTCTTTACGTGTCAGGATTTCAGAAATTTTATAACTTCATGTGTCAAGAAAATTGGCTGTTATATATAGCTTTTGGTTGTTAAGAACTGTAGTTTAAACTTATCCAGCTAGTAGGTGATTGAGAATAAATAAGTAAAACTTTAAAAGAAAATTATATTTTCAAATAAAATGGTATGTAATTAAAACATATAATTTGCCTCTTAAGGATCTCACCTGGCTCTATGCTTTAAGAAAGGCAAATAGCTTTCCGAATAACCTTTTTGACCAAAGTTTTCAGATTTGTTTTAACTTTGTATAATTTAAGATAAATATGAGATTTTCCTCAGATGACTGAGTCTGGATCAGCTTCTCTTTGGTTAGGACATTACAATTTGCGTTGGGGTACAATGGAAATAATTACTCATTTAAAAACTTTATACTTGTTTTCTGATTATTAAAATAGTACATTTGTTTTATAAATTGTTTTAAATGTAGTGAAGTACAGAGACAATTCCTGTTAATATTTGATGTTTTGGACATATTAATACACTTATAAAATGTAGATTATATTATATCCTGCTATTTGTTTTTTTGTTTGTTTATTTTTTGAGACTGAATCTCACTCTGTCACCCATGCTGGAGTGCAGTAGTGTGATCTCGGCTTACTGCAACCCCTGCCTTCTGGGTTCAAGCAATTCTCCTACCTCAGCCTCCTGAGTAGCTGGGATTACAGGCGTGCGCCACCATGCCTGGCTAATTTTTATATTTTTAGTAGAGACAGGGGTCTCACCATGTGGGCCAGGCTGGTTTTGAACTCCTGACCTCAGGCGATCCACCTGCTTCTGCCTCCCAAAGTGCTAGGATTACAGGCCACTGTGCCTGGCCTATTCTGCTATTTTTATGGAATACTATTTCATCGGTATTTTTCCATGTTATCATCTGCACATCAAAAATGTGATTTTTAATTATAGGTATATATAAAAATTTATTTTGCCATTTCTATATTTATCTTGTTTCAAACTTTTCACTATTATAGTTAGTGCTTTCATGAAAATGCTTGTGTATAAATCTTGGAGCCTGCCTTGAAATTTGTCTTAGGATAAATTCTAAAGGTAGAGTTGTTAAGACAAAGGATATGCCAGTTTAAAATTATTTGACGTGTACATTGCTCTTTACAAAGATTGCATTGTTTTATATTCTAACAGTTCTGGGAATTCTGTTTGCCCACAAAATTGAAGATTCAAAGTAACCATTCATTACATTTTTTTTCAATTTGATAAGTGTAAAATGGTGTCTTATCGTTTTATTGTTTTAGTGCTTTAATAATCTAAATTCACTTTCTATCTACATTTAATTTTGCCTTATTTTTATTGTTTGTATTTTGGCTACAGGATAGTAAATTTATTTTATAAATATTTAAATAGGTGTGTTACATGCTGTGACAAGAGAAGCTCATTAATATTTAAATATATTCTTTTGACACTTTACTAATTCATAACATACCACCTTTTTTTGAAGCTGATATGCTGGATGATTAAACTTCTAGTATTGTAACAAAATTATTGCTCAATGAAAAACTTCAAAATAGTATGTATAAGGCATTTTTGCTAAATTAAATCTAAATGTGCTTAAAGATCACCATATTACTGCTGACATACATTTTTAAGTGTATTACATGAAATCATTATAATATTATATGAGACTCTTTTCCTCTAATTAGTCTTTTCCATGTCAAAATATGTCCATTGACATTTTTCAGTGCTGTCAAGGTAGATTGTTTAAATATTAATTGCAACCCTGTGAAGACTGTGATTGATGATCTCATCCAGAAGTTATTTGATCTGCTTGTTCTTTCTTTGAAGAAGTCCATACAGGGTAAATACACATTTTAATTTTTATTTTTACTTAATTTGATATGTAGAAGCATGTACTTTGATAGTTATAAAATGTGAATTTCAATGATCATTAAAAACCAAAACTGAACTAATTTAAAAAAAGCAGGAAAAGTCCATATTCAATCATTAGGAGGTCTAATGAAGACATCTTTATTATTTGCAGTCTGAGCTAGTATTAGATTGTTGCATATGTAGCTGAGAAAGGTAGATAATTCTGATATAATGTATTTCTGCTTATCTCCTCAAATGACAAAGTATTTTTCAAAATACCACAGTTTCTTCTTTTTCTTTAAAACTGAGATGTTTTAGTATGTTGTATAAAAGACGAAAAATGCAGTAATGCATTTTAAGCTTTTCTTAAAATTTTTAAATACAACGTGAAACAACTAAACTTTCATGGGAAGAAATTTCTTTGCTTATTCCACATCTTGAAATTTTGTTTTATGAAAGCAAATGATAATTTAGAACTTATTGTATTCCATGTACTGATTACTTCTACCACCCCTTGATTTAGAAATTATGTAACTTAGTATTTTTGATGGTAATAATTAACATTTCTTGTATTTCAATGTTACCACTCAGCTCATTTACATGAAATTGATACATTTGTTACTGAGGCTATGGAAGTCTTAACAATTATGCCCCAGTCTGTGGAAGAAATTGGTGATGCAAATCTACAATATAGTAAGTTACAAGAACGGAAGCCAGAGGTGAGAATCACAAAGTAAAATTATTATTATTACTTTTTACTGCATGGAAAATGTTTAAATTAGGTAATTTTATGTCATTATTTACAAATATATAATCTCAACATTATAAGGAGGTCCACAATAGTCTGGCTTACCTGGTTAGCTCATGATTAGACTCTTGGCTGGGCCTGGTGGCTCACGCCTGTAATCTCAGTACTTTGGGAGGCCGAGGCAGGCAGATCACGAGGTTGGGAGTTCAAGACCAGCCTGACCAACATGGTCAAACCCTGTATCTGTTAAAAATACAAAAATTAGCCGGTTGTGGTGGTGGGTGCCTGTAATCCCAGCTATTCAGGAGGCTGAGGCAGGAGAATCTCTTGAACCTGGGAGGCAAAGGTTGCAGTGAGCCAAGATCGTGCCACTGCACTCCAGCCTGGGTGACAGAGCGAGACTCTGTCTCGAAATAAATAAATAAGTAAATAAATAAATAAATAGACTTTCGATGCACTATTGGTGTAATGAAACAGTAATAGTATTGTTTTCAGATCTATTTGCAGTCTATTTTATGATGTGGCATATTAGAGTAAGAGTAAACTTAAATAATTCATACTATTACCTTTAGAGTTATAACTTTAGGATGCAAAAGTATGAAGTTAAGAGCTAAACTAGGAGTACACATATACACATACATACATAATGGAAGAGCTCATAATTAAATACAAAGGAGAATGGTAAAGATTCATAAAAAACTATCCAGAAGGCTAGAGCCCAGAATAGACAAGCCAAAGTTTTATAACATATTATAGAGATTTTAGTTATGTTTGGAGCAAGAAGGAGAAATAATTCAAATTAGTGTACAAACTTATGTGCCCCCACTTAAAATTATAAAGAGAGATTCAAGGTGAATAAAATAACATACCACTGCAGTGGAAAGAATTACAGACTTTTATGTGATAGACTTAAAGGTATTAAAGAGGGTTTAAAGGTGAATAAAATAATGTATCCGTCTAGTAGAAGGAATTAACTAAAATAGGAATGGTTATGAGCTGTGGCAGTTAGCAGAGACATTTGACTGATATGTATGGATCACTTGATGTATTCCAGGCATTGTACTAGGAGTTGGGGATGCAGCTGTGAACATATTCTATTCTCATGGAACATACACGTGTGTGCGTGTGTGTGTGTGTGAGAGAGAGTGAGCAAAAGAGGATTGAGAGAGAGAGAGAGAGGGAGGAGAGAAGTGAGGATGAGTATGCTCAACTAGGGGTTATTACTTAGGGTGGGTGATCATGGGATATCTTCTCAGAAAGATGACATTTGAGCTGAGATCTGAAAGATAAGAAAGAGCCAGCCATTCTGAGATTTGGGGACAGATCATTCCAAAAACAATGAATAGCATGTACAAAGATCTTAAGGTAGAGAAGGAGCTTGGTATGCTTAAGGAACAGATAGATGTAAACAGTATCAAGAGAGTTAATTATTAAAAGAGCATAGTATTCAAGGAAGAGAATGGTATGAGGTGCAATTGGAAAGAGAGGCAAGGGCCAGATTACGAAGATGCTTTTAGAAATTGTAAGAAGTTCGTATTTTATTCTGAGTGTAATAAGAAAGTCTTTAGAGGGCTTTAAGTGGTGGAGTGACACAATGTCTCTGACATTTTGAAGTGATGACTCTAGATGCTCTGTGGAAAATGAATTGGAGGGAGACAATAGTGGTGGACAGGCCAGTTAGTAGGATATTACAATATGATAGACAAGAGATGATGGAAGCTTGTATCATGTAGTGGTAGTGGAGATAGAACTATATCTCCACTGATTGATGATGTATAGGGGTGGGTGTGGTTAGAGGAAGATAAATCAAAATGTCTCTTAGGAGTTTGGCTTGAGCAGCTGGGAAAATATTGGTGCCATTTCCTGAAATAGGGATGACTAGAGGAGCAACTGGAGTTTAGAAGTGGTGGAGACTGAGTTGTCTGGTAGAAATCAAATGAGGATGTGGAATTTAGAGTAAAGGTAAGGACTACAAATACAAATTTTGAAGTCTTCTTTCTATCTATGATACTTAAGCCTTGGGATTGGCTTAGACCAACTGGTAGATAATAAACAAAGGGTGTAAGACCAGGCTTGAACTTTGCAAAATTTAGACTTCAAGCATAGGATGAGGAGCAAAGGACATAAATGGAGTGGGAGGAAAGACAAGAGATTGTAGTGTCACAAAAGCTAAAGGAGAGATTGATGTTGTTTGCTGGGAACAGCAAGCAATTAGGTATTATAAGAGGAAATATGTGAGGTAGGAAGTGACATGAGATAATAAAAGAACTAGGCAGAATCTTCATGTGAGCCATATCAGGGACCTTAGAATCTCATATTCTGTGGGCACTGGGGAGCTGTTGCTGGATTTTATATAGCAAAGTATTATATAATTCTCTTTTGGTATGTCTATTTGTTGGTATGTGGATTTGAGGGGTAGGACTGGAGGTAGGTAGACTAGGAAACTATTGTGATATGTTTTACAGGCTAACTGGAGTTCCGTTCACGTGTAGAAAATTAAAATCCTGAGGTGTCCAATCATAGTTCACTGCAGCCTCAAACTCCTGGGCTCAAGCAGTGTTCCTGCTTCAGCCTCCTCAGTAGCTAGGAGTACAGGTGTGCACCACCATGCCCAGTTAATTTTTAAAATATATTTTTTTAGAGATGCGTTCTCACTATGTTGCTTAGGTTAATCTTAATCCCCTCGCCTCGGCCTCCCAAAGTGCTAGGATTACAGGTGTGAGCTGCCAGGCCTGCCCAATTCAGTTATATTTGAATTTCCTTTGTTGTCTGTTTTATTATATATGCATACTGATATTTAAAAATGTTTAAATGGATTTTATTGCTTTATTGAATAGTAAAAGTACAGATATTAATTATAGGATACTGTTGTTTTACAGAGCTTTAAAAGCCTTAGAGGCAATTCCAGCAGTTTAGCACCCATTGACCTACACCCAAACTGTTTAACAAACTGTTAGCTATATACAACTTAGGGCACTTCAGTTAAAAACCCTGAATGCATGAGCTTAATTTCACTTCTTTAGTTGTCTGTTTCTTAAGTACCTTTTTTCATGACTTTCCTTCTCTATTAAGTCGGATAATTTAGTTAACTTATGCTCTTAGATAATCACTAATTTTAGCTCCTTTAGAAACCTCTTTAGCATTTTCTTGTGAATGGACCATTTATAATAAGAACTTTACTTTGATAAACTGTAGTATTATCTTTATGGATTTCATTTAGTCTCATATTACTACTTTATCTTTTTTAACCTCTGATGTTAGAGTGCCTTAGTTGAATTTGTGTATAGTAAAAAATAACCATCAGAAAGTTTATATCCAGGAATTTTTTTCTGCCAAATCAGAATATATAGGAATTTAACAAACTGTTTAAATGCAAAAATCTTAATTTAAAAAATAAAGTTATGAAACAAAAATTAAAATAAATGAAATCTTAAGAGATTTGATAAAATAGGTTGTTATTCAATTTGTTTTTTTTTTTTTAACCTTTAGATTTTGCCCTTATTTCAAGAAGCTGAAGACAAAAACAGACTTTTACGAACTGTGGCTGGTGGAGGTTTAGAAACAATTAGTAATTTGAAAGCCAAGTGGGATAAATTTGAGTTAATGATGGAAAGTCACCAACTTATGATTAAAGACCAGGTTAGAATCTTTTAATTATTTATTAAAATGGGAACTTTTTTCTTACTTAAGATTTCTTGCTTATCTTTTATTCCTTTATAGCCCAGGTTTATAATAATTTAATGTGGCTGTTGAAATTGACCTCCCTGACTACTTTTATAGTGAAATATATAAATGATGATTGTTTCACATGGTTTTTCTTTACTTCCTATCACACCAAGAAGAAACCAATGTCTTTGAAATGTAACATTATTTGTAGGCCTGTGAATGAATCTGTTGCTTACCTACTATGTATGGCTTATTGCTGAAACTCATGTTTTCTTTAATTACTAAATTTATTAGGATATCAGTTTAACTACTCTAATGGAGACCCCAAAAATTGTAGCTTATGTTTCTGTCTCACATTAGACTATAAGCTGCTATGGTGCCTCTGCTTCATAACTTTGTCTGGGTCCTAGGTTTTGTCAATCTTTTTGTCTACCATCTCTAGCGTATTGTCCAGGATGGGTTATTCAGTTGCTGTGTAGTAGGGTTGGGAGAGAGAAAAGGAGAAAAAGGCAGCATCTGTCTTTTAAAGACACAACCTGGAAGTTGCACATATCTACTGCACTCATATTTTATCAACCAGAAGTTAGCCTTAGGGCCCAGTCCTTAGCTGCATGGGAGACTGGGCAATGCCTTCCTTAATTTAGCAGCTATATACTCAGGTAGAACAATCAGCAGTCATCAAACAAACATTTTAAAATTATCTTACCTTTGTTGTTAGTTGTACTAGGTGCGGTTAACCACATGAACGATTTTTAAATGATTTTATTTGAATGTTATCTCTTGTTATTATAAATTTATGGTCTAATTTATATGTTTGAATTATTTTATTGAACTTGGAATTAATAATTAAAATAACAACCATCCTTTGAAAAGTTGACATTGGTCATTGATATTTTTTCACTTTTAAATAGAAAATATTAGAAAGAAAAGTATGAACCCAAAATGAAATTTTACTCTGCATTAAATTATTTAAATTTTATTGGCTTATAGATTGAAGTGATGAAAGGAAATGTGAAATCACGTCTTCAGATCTATTATCAAGAACTGGAAAAATTTAAAGCTCGTTGGGACCAACTAAAGCCTGGTGATGATGTTATTGAAACTGGCCAACATAATACTCTTGATAAAAGTGCAAAGTTAATAAAAGAGAAAAAAATTGAGTTTGATGATCTTGAAGTCACAAGAAAAAAGCTGGTGTATGTTTTTTCTTTAAAATTGATAGTGCTTATTTTGAAAAAACAATTTATATATCAAGCTAGTAATTTTCTTATGTCTGTTATCTTGATAACTTTCCTCATAAACTTCATCACTTTTTAAACTACAAATAATAAGCATTCATATACTGTTGTCTTAGGAGTCATAGTTGTGTTATATAAGGATATTAAGAGAAAGCAAATTTCAAGAAAGGCCTAGAAGATAGATTTACCTAGAAGTTATATCAGGGTTAGAACTGTCACTTTCTTTGAACTTATCCTATTTAAAAATGAAATATATATAATTTTCAGAAAAATTACTTTTAGTGCCTCTGAGAAAAAAATAAATCTAGCATAATAAGTAATAATAAAAAACTTCAAAGAAAAAAATGAGTTGTTGGCTTATAATAATATAAAGTATTAAATTTGAGCACTGCTTTAGGTTTGTTCTATTTAAGTAGATGCTTTCATAAATGAGTGGAGTGAGTCAATTTTGTTACCATAATTACTAAATGGCATTATACTGATTAGATTAAGGATATCTTATACTCTAGAAGCTTGCCCTTTCAACTGAGAAGAGTATTCTTTTCCCAGATCAATCTGTAGATTTATACAATCTTGAATATTTACATATATATAATATGTATTACGTACATATAAATCTCTCTATATTACCAACTCAGTTTTGACTTCTTTGGAAAAAATGTATATTAATGAATTTATAGAGTTCATATATGAGTAGGTAAAGTAAAATTCTCATAGTAAATAGGTAGTTTCTTAATGTTCTTATTGTAGTTTCTTATTGTTTCTTATTGTATATCTATTAAACATACACAAGTGTGTGTGTACACACATACAAGGATTGCAGTTAAGTAACTTAATGATACTTAACAGTATCAATATTTCTGTTTTTAAAATTTAATATTTCAATATTTGTTTCTATAGTGATGATTGCCATCATTTTAGACTGGAAGAGCCTAATTTCTCCCTGGCAAGTAGTATCTCTAAAGATATCGAGAGCTGTGCCCAAATTTGGGCCTTTTATGAAGAGTTTCAACAAGGATTTCAGGAAATGGCCAATGAAGACTGGATCACTTTTCGGTTTGATTCAAAAACAATATTTAGACTAATAATTTGGTTGTTTTATTTTTGGATGTAATCTTTGCAATGTGTTTTTGGTATTTTATAGGACTAAGACATACCTGTTTGAGGAATTTTTGATGAACTGGCATGACAGATTAAGGAAGGTTGAAGAACATTCAGTGATGACAGTGAAATTACAATCAGAGGTTGACAAATATAAAGTAAGATTGTTTTATTATTTTGCCAATTAAAAACAATGTTTGGAGCTTTCATCTTATGTAGTGACTGAACTATATAATTTTACTTTATATGTTTTTCAATTAAATTATTCCGTTTGATGAAGAAAATAGGAAATACAGAGTAAACCATAGAAATTATTGATATTTCTACTACCAATGAGAAAGAAGTTATAAGAAATTTATGTTAAAGTTAAAAAACAGAGTGCTTATACATTCCAGTCCATCATGGGTCCTATCCTATAATAATAAAAATAGAAATAGTCTATGCCATGTTTTAAAATATATTAAACTACAAAGGGTAATTTGTGTGTGTCCATGGCAACATTTAATCAAAAGCTTTATACAATTCTGTTTAAGAATATGATTTTAAGATTATTAAACAAGAAAATGGAATAATTAAAATTTTGGTAACTAATAAGCATAAAAGTAAATACTAATTTGCATTTTGCTAATATATGTATATGTGTATACATATGACTTTTTCTTTTTTTTTTTTGTAACAGATCGTAATTCCTATCTTGAAATATGTGAGAGGGGAGCATCTTTCTCCAGATCACTGGCTTGACCTTTTTCGTCTCCTTGGACTTCCTAGGGGGACTAGTCTAGAGAAACTACTGTTTGGTGATTTGCTCAGAGTAGCTGATACAATTGTAGCCAAAGCTGCCGACCTTAAAGTATGAATCACTTTTATAAATATCCCATAAGTCTGGCCTTTTTTAATATACAATATTGCTTCATATTTTGTTTAAATACAAAAAAAGTCTTCCTTTAAGGGAATCAGCTTTCATCAAAAAGTAAACAAACACAAATCATTTTACATAAAATACATAAAAAATTATGTGATATGTTACACATAAAAGCTAGAGGATACACAAATCCAGAGAGCTAAGCCAAGAATCAGTTTGCTAATCACTTTTAGAAAAGCTCTCAGGTAAAAGTAAAAGTTGTCACAATTTATTACAAGTGACAGACTTTTAGTGTTGCATTCTGGCCGTTCAAAATTATAAGGACTCTTGATATCAAATTGTTTTATTTCCTATCCCAGAAATAAACCTCTGTGTTTGTTAATAACCCTGGAATGTTTTTAAATAATCTTGAGAAGTTATGAAGCATGACTGTTGCAGAAGATAACTCTAGTGGATTGTTAATCATTTTAGATGTATCAGAATCTACAATAAGATTACAGTATAATTTCTGAATTTCTTTTGTTCCAAATATTGGCCTTTTGGTCTGTAAAACTTTAAATAAACCAAACTAGTTTTGTCTTTTGTGATGGATGCTTTAATTTTTTGCTTTTCTTTTAGAGAGGTAAAAAGCATAAGGCAGAACTTTGTATATATTTTGACCATGTGAACCAGGATACTTAGTATCTTACATGCTTTGATAAAATAACCAGTAATTTTCTTGAGTTGCATGTAAAATAGAGCCACTTAACTTTTTTTTTTTTGCCTTATGGTGAAAAGCCAGATAAAATATATTTTTCATAAAATACTTTTCTATTAATTACTTATGTGAAAATTAATGTTGAAGTAATAAACATGGATATTTTGTGTTAAATAGGATTTAAATAGTCGGGCACAAGGTGAAGTTACAATCAGAGAAGCTTTACGTGAACTTGATCTTTGGGGAGTTGGAGCAGTGTTTACATTAATTGATTATGAAGACAGCCAAAGTCGAACTATGAAGCTGATTAAAGACTGGAAAGATATAGTAAATCAGGTTGGAGATAATAGATGCCTTCTCCAATCCTTAAAGGATTCTCCTTATTATAAAGGATTTGAAGATAAAGTATCAATTTGGGAAAGAAAACTTGCAGAGTTAGATGAATACCTGCAGAATTTAAATCATATTCAGAGAAAGTGGGTGTATTTGGAACCCATTTTCGGCCGTGGAGCATTGCCAAAAGAACAGACACGCTTCAACAGAGTTGATGAAGATTTTAGGTCAGTACAATGATGTAAGACATAGACACATATGGTATTTTTTTTAAATTAATTCATATTGTGAAGTGCTTAATACAGGCAAATTACTTTTACATGATTGGTATCCTCTGTGTATTCAAATTCTTTCCTAGTGGATCCTTTTGAGAAGCTATTCTCTCATTCAAGCATTTACTTCTTGAACCATTATGGTGTGGTCTCTGTTATTACCACTCTACCTAATAATACATACTTCATAAAATCACTAATTACTTTCTCTTTTAAATTCAAAAGGCATTTTCAATTTTTATTTTACTTTATCTCTCATTAGTATTTAATAGAGTTGAGCATTTCTTCTTTCTTAGAAAGTCTCTTCCATTGGCTTCTGTGATTTCGTCCTCTCTTGGTTTTCTGACTGTCTCTCTAGTTCAACACATAGTTCCTAGTCCTTAGCTGTCTCCAAATCTTTAGATGTAGTCATTCTCCAGGCCTCAGCCTTCGATTTTTTTCTCACTGTATTCTCAGGTAATCTTAACCACTGCCAGCATCAGTTCTCTTTTATATGCTGAGGTCTCCTCAACTTACATGTACAGCCCATATTTCTCTTCTGAGCTCCAAATCTACCAAACATGCTCAAATAGTAGGCTAAAACTGAATCCATGAGCTTAATTTACCAGTTCCTTTCCAACAAATCTTTCTTCTTTCTGATTCCTATTTCAATAAATGGCCCAACCTAATTGCTGAAAGCAGAGACATGATGGATAACTTTGATATCTCCCTCTTCCTCCACTTTTACATACATTAAGTTGCCAAATTTTGTTGATTCTAACCTGCTTAGTATATCTTGAGCCAAATACCTGTACAGAAGTATATCTGTACTTCTATTCTAATGTTCTGTATCTCTTACTTGGACTACGCACATTAACCTTCTGACTTGCTCTTGTATAATATAAGTTTTTCACACAACAGCCAGAGTAATTGTTTAAAAATGCAGGTTCAGCACTTTCTTTTACTCCTGTAAATAAAACTTTAAAATAGTTTCCCATTGTGCTAGGGATAAAGCATGATCTGCTCCTTGTTCATTTCTCTATCCTTTTCTTGTGCTGCTCTCCATTTTGCTTTAGTGACTCTAGCTTTTAGTTTCTCGGTCATACCTATCTTCTTCCCAGAATCTTTGCCAGAAACGTCTTCTACTCACTCACTTTTTCATTTTATTCTTCATCTGCATATCAATTTAAATTACTTCCTTAAAGAAGTCCTAGGTTATGGGTTGCCCTGTTAGCCATTTTAACAATACTTTACTTTTCCTTTTTAACATTTATCACAATTTTATTTAAATATTTCTAGAAATTATTTGATGTCTTTTGCTGTCACTGGACCATTAGCTCTATGAGGTAGGGCTTAAAATTAGCTTAGCAAGGCTGGGCATGGTGGCTCACGCCTGTAATCCCAGCACTTTGGGAGGCCGAGGCGGGCGGATCACGAGGTCAGGAGATCGAGACCATCGTGGCTAACACGGTGAAACCCCGTCTCTACTAAAATATACAAAAAAATTAGCTAGGCGCGGTGGCGGGTGCCTGTATTCCCAGCTACTTGGGAGGCTGAGGCAGGTGAATGTCAGGAACCCAGGAGGCGGAGTTTGCAGTGAGCAGAGATTGCGCCACTGCACTCCAGCCTGGGAGACAGAGCGAGACTCCATCTCAAAAAATAAAAAAATTAGCTTAGCAAATGAAATATATAAGATAATTTAAAATATAAGAAGTTAAAAATGATAGTGTGATATTAATATTTAACATTCCTAGAGGTGTAATACTGTTATAATAGTGTTACCTTTAGTTCATTTTAAGCAGGTAAAAAAAGTCTTAATCTGTTTTTCTTACCCCCCCAAATTGTTAAAGTAGATGTGAAGATACTTTTTTTTCTTTTGTAGATCAATAATGACTGATATCAAGAAAGACAATAGAGTCACAACATTAACTACTCATGCTGGAATAAGAAATTCTCTACTAACAATACTTGATCAGCTTCAAAGATGTCAGAAATCATTAAATGAATTTTTGGAGGCATGTTTTTTAAGAAAAAAATATATAATAAATTGTAAAGTACTTGATATCTTAATTATCTGAAAAAAAGAAAGCTATTTTTTGTTTCTATTTTTATTAGGAAAAACGCTCAGCATTCCCAAGATTTTATTTTATTGGTGATGATGACTTATTAGAAATATTGGGCCAGTCTACCAACCCATCAGTGATTCAGTCTCACCTGAAGAAGCTTTTTGCTGGTAGGATTCAACATTTATTTAACAGATATTTATTGAGTTTCAACTGTCTGCCAGGCCTAATATTATGCTCTTAGGTAGACTACTGAATACAGCAGTCAGTTCATATACCCAAATACAGTTCCTGTACCCAAAGAATGTACAGTTTAATGGGAGAGACAAGGTTGTAAGTTGACAAATATAATACAGTGTGACAATTCTGGTGATTGACATAAGTATGTGGTGCTATAGGTCCATCTGTGAGGGCATTTAGCTCAGTTTTAGGGCATCATGAAGTAAGTGACATCTAGGGCGATATCTGAAGAATGTATAGGCCTTAGTTAGAAAAAGGCAGGCAGGCAGTGGGTATAGGCTGTGCAAAGGCCTGTAGTGAAGGAGAATATGCCTCTTCCTTATAGAGTTTAAGGTGTCCTGAATGACATACAGGTGGAGATACTCCATAGGCAGTTATTGTCAGTGAAGAGACCTAGGTGAGAATGTAGGAGTCATCCATATAGAAATAATAGTAAGCTATGGGAACAGGTGAGATTACTTGGGGGAAAACTGTAATGTCAAATGCTTTGATGTTGTAGAGTCACTTTAATGGGATACTTATTAGTGGCAAATGGAATAGGTTTATTACCAAAATAATGACTATTATTTTCTTAAAATACTTAATTTACTTGGAAAGCGCAAGCAAATGACTTCTTCTATAGAGCAAACAGCTCTATAGAAAAGAGCTGTATTTTTCAAATTAAATTTATGAAGTAAAATAATTTTCATCATTTTAACTAATAATCAAGGATCAGCAAAATATAACCCATGGGCCAAAATCTGGCTCACTACTTGTTGTTTTTAAGTAAAGTTTTGTTGAAACATAATCCTGCACGGTAGTTTATGTATTGTTGTCTATACCTTTCATGCTATGAATGCAGAGTTGAGTAGTTGACACTGACCATATGGTCCATTAGACTTAAAATATTTACTCTCTGGTCCTGTACAGAAATATTCATCAATTCCTGTGTATCTGAAGCTTTAGGATGCTTATATTTGTAACTATGATTTGGGCAATGGGAAGTAGTAGAAAACAAACTCTTGCAATCAGAACCCTTTTATTCAACCAATTTCTCTATTGTTTATTAATTGGTTATCAAGTTACCTCTCTGAAATTTAGTTTTTTCTTTATATTGCAAATAATAATATAGTTTTTTTGTGAAGATCAAAATGACATAATATATTCAAGTTTTTTATATACTATAAAGTAATATGCAAATTTGGGGGAAAGGGAAGTCTTATTTGCCTTCAACACATTTACCTGTTCATGGGCATTTGGGTTATTTCCAGTTTTTGGCTATTACGAATAAAGCTGTTGTAAACAATCATACAAGTCTTTTTGTAGACATACATTTTTATTTGTATTGGATAAACACCTAGTTTTGGAATTGCTAAGTCATATAGTAAATATATGTTTAACTTTTTTAGAAACTGCCAAATCATTTTCCAAAGAGGTTATAACATTTTTCACTCCCCCAAGAATGTGAGTTAGGACAATTCTTACTGATTGGTACGTAGTAGTTGATTAGGTTGCCTAAATTTTTTATTCTGGAAAATGGTAGGAATGAATAAACAAACATATATAGAAATATCTAAATAAACATTCACAAATTTCACCAGTGAATCCTGTCACATATAGATAGATATTGATAAGAAATATTTCAGATGAGTGATAAGAATATTGATTCAGAAAGTGATTTTTTTCCCTCAATAGGACATTTAAACACTAGGAGCACTATATATTATGTGGTATACATTATAATTTGATTATTATATATGTTTTAGGGTATATATTAACACTATGTGACACATATTGTATCTAATAATTATGTCTTTAATCCTTTTGCAATTCAATCATTGCTTTTATATTTCAGGTATTAACAGTGTTTGCTTTGATGAGAAATCAAAACATATAACTGCAATGAAATCTTTAGAGGGAGAAGTTGTACCTTTTAAAAATAAAGTTCCTCTATCAAATAATGTAGAGGTAAGCAATTCTTTTTCAAATATGAAAACAAAAAGAATTAACTATATATGAACTTTGTGTCTAAAATAATTTAGTCAATTTAGAGGGTAAAGTTGGTTAATTTAGGTATTTTAGGAAACTCAGCTCATATCTTAAAAATGATTTGTTTTGTTAGTTTCGGAGTATTTTGATATTAAAAAGAATATGGATTTGTAGTCTTTGGAAGGCAGCCTGTAATTATGAAAAGAACCTTGGCCTTGGAGTAAAAAATCTTAGATATTAATCTTAGCTCCACAACTTAATAGCTATGTGACTTACAGTGTTGTTTTTCTAATCAGTAAAATGGTAATCTCAGTACAGGTGGAGTATGTCTTATCCAAAGTATTTGGGACCAGAAGTGTTTCAGATTTCAGATTTTGTTAGATTTTGGACTATTTGCATTATGTCAGTTCAGCATCCCTAATGTGAAAATCCAAAATGCTCCAATAAGTGTTTCCTTTGAGCATCATGTCAACCTCAAAAAGTTTTAGATTTTGGAGGATTTTGGATTTTGGATTTTCGGATTAGGGATGTTCAACCTGTAACTGTTGCAAAGACTTTCAATTAAAAATTAAATGAGATAATTGGCTTTAAGTACACTATTTAGTGCTTGGAACATGGTACTCAATACATTTTAGTTGTCTTTACTCTTTAAAATATGAATTTGTATAAGATGATTTGGGTGAACAAGTAAGCGAACAACTATTGATTAACTGGTTCTGCAGGACTGGAAGTAAACTGATCAAAGGCCTATTATAGGCATATAGCTAAAACTAACTAGCAATAGATTGCATCACATGGAATTGTAACTTTTCAATTTCAAATTATCTTCCACCTGGAAGCCAGGGCCCATGCCTTACCATGTGCATGTCCATACAGCCTAGCAAAATGTTTATTCCTGGTTAGGTTGCAACATTTTATTGGATATTGAGTACATAAATCAGTTGATTGAAAACCTGGGAGATTTGCTAATCATATTTGGTTAAGAGTTTTGTTTTTTTTCCTCTCTTGTAGTTTTGTTGGATATACACAGAGGGACAGAGCTTAAATTTTAGCAACTGGGCTAGAGCAGGTATACCAGCAAAGGAAAAGTTGAAACTCTGGAAGCTTTATGATTGTTAGCAGAGTAGATGTGTCTGTTGCCATGCACTGAGAGGCAGATTCTCACTCTAGCTTCAGTGAATTTTGATGCTATTTTCAATACTGGAGAATGCTCTACAGATTGAAAAAAAAAGCTGGAACACAGAGTTATTTAAGTACGCAATGATGAGAGGCTAAGATTGCAGCTTTTGCCTTTTTATTACAAATGATATATTTTTAAGGTTAAGAAGTGATTCATAAATATTCATTGTTTATCAATCATTGTTATTTTAACTTTTTATTATTTTATATATAATCAAGTGAGTGGAAAAATACATTTTTTTTCACTTTGAAACAAAATTAGTTTTGTTGGATGAAGCAATCTAAGCCCCCAAATAATACATTTCATCCTGATGAAGCAATCCCTTCCTATGGTTACGACTTTATGAATATAAGATCATCAGGATGGCATGAGCCAGGAACTTAGCCAGCCATTTTGACCCTGATTTATTGGCCAAACTATCTGGTTTGATTCATCATAATGATGAAGTGAATGGGTCGACTTTTAAATGCTCATATTATATTGGCTTGTATAGATATAGTCATGGTAGTGTTAGCCACAAATTTATGTTTTCACACTCATCATTATCCTAAGAGGTGAAAAAATTGTTTTATTCAAATTATTTAAACTGTTTATTAAGAAAATAAAGAATTATATTCCTATAACACATTTTAGGAGTGTAATGATCAATAGGAAAGTATAATACCCCGTCTTGAAATAACAGTATAGAGTTAGTAGATTGTATATTTATTTTATGTCTTATATATATTATTTTCCAGTTTATTTTATGTCTTGTTTATATTATTTTCCAATTTCTTTTTCAGACATGGTTGAATGATTTGGCCTTAGAAATGAAGAAAACTTTGGAACAGTTGTTGAAGGAATGTGTTACTACTGGGCGAAGTTCTCAAGGTGCAGTTGACCCATCTCTGTTCCCTTCACAGGTAAGGGGGCTTACGTGTAGAAGCTACATAGGCATGGAACGTGGAAAGATCCCTGACCTAGAAGCCAGGAGGCTCAGATAAATCGCATCTGTTTTCTCCCTTTATCTAACAGTTAACGGACAAATTGCTTAACTTCTGAGTCTCAGTTCCTTCAGCTGTAAAATGTGGGGGATGAATTGAGATCCAAGCAACCTAGGCCAGTGGTGAGTAGGATGGGGAGGAGGGAATCAGGCATCTAATAGCTTCCTGGTTCCAGATGATTAGTTCATCATTGATGGAGAATCACAGGATCTATAACACTGTTGTCCCCTACCCGTCCATCCCTCCCATGGGATCATCTAAGCATTGGAGCTGGCAGGAACTTAGCAGGTATTAGTGTAAATCTGAAATAGTCATAACACTAAACTGTAATATTGACAGTGAGAGTGAGGTCATATGGTGAATTACAGAGATGGCTGCAGCTCAGGGTTAATAGGAGTTCATCCCTGAACACTGGGTACTAGATATTTAGCTTACAAAATTTGTACCAGTCTATATCAAAATGTAGCACTAAGACTTGTGTTAAACATCCTGCGTTGTTTAATAGTTGGGCCAGACTGTTACAGGTGTAGGTCATCAGGAACTTTAGTTCTTAGGGACTGTGGATGGTAGACATTGGGATGTTTCATGATTTCTTACAGAAAAATCTACCCAGCAGCTCTCAAAGTTATTTGCTTTTCAAATAAAAAAAAATGTAGTGGCTATTGGAACAGGTTTTTATGTTGATTTTCTGTAAGTATGGAAGCTTGGAACAGTTTACATTCTGAACCATTTTCTCATACATGCCATTTGTATCTTTTTTCATTTTAAGGCAAACTGAAATGTTTCAAAAAAGCTCAAATTCTTAGAGAAAAATATAAGTAATCATCACTGAATAACCAAAGCCATTGTAGAACCAGAGTAGACTGCTTTATTACCACTGAAAATGTTTCCTAGTACTCTGTCAACTTCCAGATAGGATTTATAAATCAACTTAGAATAAAAGACACAGTATACAAAAAGTCTACAAAAGCAATATTGTATAATATTTGGGTTAGGGAAATGACAATTGTGTTGGGAGATATAGTGGGAGGTAATAGGCTAGAGAAAGTTGTTGGATTTCAGCCTGCAACTTACCTCCAGGCCCTTGAGCAGTCAGGTAAAAGTGTGAACTACTAAAAATGTAAATAGTTCATTATCTACTAAAATAAAGAATTCTAGTTTATTAGCATTTAATGCTAAGAAATATTGATCTCAAGAGTATTTACATAAGGGAATTGAGTAGCATAATTGGCTATTATGTACTGATAATTCAGTTACTTTTTTTATATGGACCTGAAATAATGGTAGAGAGGGTACTTTTTTGGTATGGGAAGGAGGCAGTGTGGTAAAGTAGAAAGAATCTGACTTTGGTTTAAATATTAATCTTTGCTAGTTATCCTGAGTAGAACATTTTGACACTTACATTATTTACATGACCTTCAAGTACCTACGTTATCAAGTCATTTTGAAGGTTATTTCATAATGTTTGCAGAGCACACTTAATTGTCATTACATTTTAGGTAATTCATAATATTAGTTCCTATCCAGCTGTCTTAACAGTAATGCGATTTTATAACCCAGGACTGTAACTTAACTCTAACTTTTGTTAGCCATTCACAGAAATTACACAGCAGACTGTAAAAAATTAAGTTTATTGATATGTATTTATAATATAGAAATTCAGTAGCATTGCCTAGGATTAGGCTTGAAGGTAGCAAAGGAACATTTTTATATGAAAATCAAAGAGCAAAGTATTTTTCTCAAAAGCAGATTTGGTTCTCCATAAATACCTCATCATATACCTGATTAAAGAAACTGATGAGTTTCATACCACAAAGTTTGTTTGGGCGATGAATTTGCTTAGAAATGAGTTACTAGTTGGCTTTCTTTTCCATAAAAGAACCATAATGTAATATTTACAGAATGTTTTAAGTTGCAGTAAGACAGCAGCTTAGCCTGCTCTCATGTGGAGTGCAGTGGTGCGATCTCAGCTCACTGCAACCTCCCCCTCTCAGGCTCAAGCGATTCTCGTGCTTCAGCCTCCTAAGTAGCTAGAATTACAGGCATGTGCCACCATACCTGGCTAATTTTTGTATTTTTCAGTAGAGACGGGGTTTCTCCATGTTAACCAGGCTGGTCTTGAACTCCTGGCCTCAAGTGATCCACCCACCTCAGCCTTCCAAAGTTCTGGGATTACAGGCGTGAGCCACCGCACCCGGCCAAGGCAGATCTTAGTTTAGGAGAATACTGGAATTTTGCTATCGTAGACTTCAGTACTATACTAAGAAATTATTTTGAAATGCTAAAGATTGCCCTTTTATTAATTAGAATGCATCATACTTTGATATCTTTGTAGTTTACTGGTTGAAAAGAAGCCATTTCTGAAGAGAGGGGAAGAAAATACAAAGGCTTTGAGGTTACAATAAACATAGTGGGTTATAGGACCAGAAAAATAGGTTTGTAGTAGAGTATAGTATGAAATGAGTTCTGTGAAGTAGGCTTGGCTGCATCACACAATACTTTTTCTACTACTATATTACTCTATTAATATTTAAGGTTCCAGTATGACATTAAGATGGAGAGATCCAATATACAATTGGCTATTTGAAAAAAGGTGCCTTTCTTTAAATTTATAAAATATTTCTAAGTAAATTCACCTTTTAAAAATAATTTTTCTCTTTATTCAATAGATTTTATGCTTGGCGGAGCAGATTAAATTCACTGAAGATGTAGAAAATGCTATTAAAGATCATAGTCTTCATCAGATTGAAACACAACTGGTGAATAAGTTAGAGCAATATACTAACATTGATACAAGTTCTGAGGATCCAGGGAATACTGGTATGGAAAAGACATTCCCTTTTCTGCCTGGTTTTGGGTTATTTTTTGGTATTCTATCCTAATTTACCTATTGTGTTTTTGACTGTATATCTGTGTTGGTGATTACTCGAGGAATTACAACATATATACTTAAATTTTTATAATGTACTTTGAATCAGTAATTTACTAATTTAAATAGAATATAGAAACCTTACTACCATATAGGCTTCTTTATCCTCTCCTTTTAATATTGTAGTTGTCTTAATATTTTACATTTACATACACTGAAAACTCCATGAGATTATGTTATAAATTTTGCTTTTAACCATCAAAGTTATTTGAAAAAACTCGAGGAGAACAATCTTTTATATATACCTAGATGTTTACCATTTGTTGCCCTTCCTTTATTCCTGATGTTCCAGGTTTCCTTCTGGTGTCATTTTCCTTCTGTCTAAAGAACTTCTTTTAGTGTTTCTTTTGGAGAAGGTGTCCTAACTCTGAATTCACATAGATTTCCTTCATCCAAGAATGTCTTATTTTACCTTTATTTCTGAAGAATTTTTCACTGGCTATCCTGGGTTAACAATTCTTTTCTTTTAGCATTTAAAGTGTTCTACTTCCATCTGAGCTATATGTTTTCTGATGAGGAATCCACAGTCATTTGAGTTGTTATTCTTCTATAAGTAATACATTACTTTTTTTTTCTGGCAGCATTCAAGATTTTCTCATATTCTTTAGTTTTCAGTAGTTTGATTATGATATAGACACATCTTTGCATTTATTCTCTTTGGGGTTGTCTCAGCTTCAATCTGTACATTTGTTTTTCACCAAAATCTGGGAAGCTTTTGGCTCTTATTTCTTCAAACATTCTTCCTGTATTATACTCTTTCTCCTATATTCTGAGTTTCTCATGACATGGATGTTAGACCTTTTGGCATGGGTTTGGATCTCTGAGGCGCTGCCTTTTTTTTTTTTTTTTTTTTTGATTTTTCCTCTTTATTAGCCTGCATAATTTCTACTGCTCTGTCTTCAAGTTCACTGCCTCTTTCCTTTATTATTTCCATTTCAATATTAAGTCCATTCAGTGATTTTCAAAGAATTTTTCAGCTTTAAAATTTCTATTTATTTATATTTTTTATTCCTTTGCTGAGATATTCTGTCTTTCCACTTGTTTCAAAAGTCTTCACCTTTTACTTCTTGTACTTCTTAGAGCACTTTTATAATAGGGCTTTAAAGTATTTTTTTTTTTTGGAGGGCGGGGACAGGTTCTTGCTCTGTTATCCAGGCTGGAGTGCAGTGGTGAGACTGTGGCTCACTGCAGCCTTGACCTCCTGAGCTCAAGCAATTTTCCCACCTCAGCCTCCTGGGTAGCTGAGATTACAGACATGTGTCATCATGGCTGGCTGACTTTTTTATTTTTTGTAGAGACATGGTTTTGCCATGTTGCCCGGGCTGGTTTCAAACTCCTGGGCTCAAGCAGTCCTCCTGCCTCGGCCTCCCAAAGTGGTGGGATTACAGGCATGAGCCTCTTTGCCCGGCAATAATAGTACTTTAAAGTCTTTTGCAGATAACCTCAACAGGTATGTCATCTAGATACTGGTACTTATTATTGTCTTTTCTTATGTGAATTGAGATTTTCTTGGTTCTTTGCATGTTGAATAATTTTGGATGATACCATGGATATTTTGAATATTATGTTATGAGGGTTTGGGTTTTGTTTAAATCCTCTGGAGAACATTGATATTTTTGTTTTAGTAACTGATCCTGTTGGGTTCAGATTCCAAGTTCTAGCCAGCTTTCTGTGGGTTATGGTTCTGGTGTCAGTCTGTTTTCAAATCTTTGCAGTGCTATTTCAGTCTGTCCCACATGTGTTCCCTCGTAGCCAATTCCAGTCTTTGGTTTCTGATTAGAATGAGATCTATTCATGCACCACACCTTGGGAATGAGTCCAGGAGTTCCTAAAGAAGTTTATGGGGTTATTTTTTCAATCTCCTTCTTCTCCATGATCTTCCCAGCATTTTATGGTTCCCTCAGCCTTCTGTTTTGTTTCTCTGGCCAGAAAGCTGGGGTTCATGTACTTTATTTTCTTGCACACTTTTGTGCAATTTGGGTTTACCTACTCTCTTGGGATCACAGCTCCTCTGGAGTTTTAGGGACTTCTGGGTCCCAGCTGCCAGTGGGATAGCTAGCAGAAGACCCCTTTCCTTCTAAAGCCTGAGCTAGAGGTGGTTTTCTAGAGATCTGTCTACACCAGTTTCGGTTTCTGGCTGCATTGGGTATGGCCCTAGCGTTGCCAGAAGGGGGGAAAAATACAATGGTAAATCCACCACTGGTTTGGTGTCTCTTCTAATTCTGGTCTTCCTCAACCTGCCTGCTACTCTTTTCAGAGTTCTAAATAGCAGTTCAATGTATGTTGTCCAACAGGTTTTTATGCCTGCATTCAGAGGGAGAAGCAGAGTGGAGTCTGCTTACTCCCTTGAATAAGGAACTGAAACTCTTTTCTCTTGGAATTTTGATATCTTAATTTTTATACTCAAAATTCTTATTTTTTACTTACTGGTAGATTTGACTTTTTTAGCTTATGTGATTTGTATTACTATACCATTCATATGTGTCATGAAATTACCATTTAAATTCATGGAGAAATCACCTGTACACGTAATCATAAATTATATAAATCACAGGCTAACATTTTCTCCAATTGTCAATATTTTTATTTCTGCCTAGAATCGGGCATCCTGGAGCTTAAACTTAAAGCCCTAATTCTTGACATTATCCATAATATTGATGTGGTAAAGCAGTTAAACCAAATTCAGGTTCATACAACTGAAGACTGGGCTTGGAAAAAACAACTTAGATTCTATATGAAAAGTGATCATACATGTTGTGTTCAAATGGTGGATTCTGAATTTCAGTATACTTATGAATATCAGGTATGAGTTGTGGCAGTGTTTTATATTTCCAATTAGAAATTATTTACTGTAAAGAAAATTTGTTATTGGTAGAAATACTTTTTTATTTAAGTAGTAATTTTTCCATAATATTTTTAGTATTATTGTCTTGTTTAATCAGAATTAGAAAGGTGTCACATAAGAAAAAAGTGAAACTTCATTCTATATACAAAAAAGTTAAAATATTGCTAGTATTGTACTGAATTCTCAAAAATGTACCTTTTCTTGGAGTTGCATTTATATACAATTTGAAATATATCTTCATCCAAGGAGAACTGAATATAGACAACCTCAGTCAAAGCAATTTGGTTTGTGTCTCCTTATACAAGGCAAAAATTAGTGTTATTTTAAATATGCTAAAATGTTTGCTAAATATTTTTTAGTTTGTAAGATGAAAAAATTTTCAGACAAATAACCTAGTTAATGTAAACATGTTCTCAAAAATTCCACCTGTTGCCTCTGCCTTTTTCTATCATAATGAATGAATCATCAAAATATATTTGAAAATATTGTTAATAAACCTATGTTAGGAGAGCTGCCAAATGGCTTTTTCAAAAGGGAAATGTATTTGGGACCCAAATCTATCTACCTCAATTGAGGAAAAACACACTGTAAATTGTAGCTGGAATGGGAGTCTGTTTTCCCTACAGTTTAGTAGAAACTTTGAGAATTATTTGATAAATTACATGATTAATTTCTTAAGGAATTTTTCAAATTCATTACACTTTGTGATCTCCAAAATAGTTCTGATTTGTGGATATCATAAGAGTCAAGGAAATAGTTTATATAAATTTTAAAATATGAAATGGGATGATTACTGTATAATAATTTTGGATTTCTTTTCCTTAGAAGTATATCTTTGTGCCATTAACAAGAACTTGAGAAACAATTTTGAAACCTAACAATGTATTGAGTATAGTATGAAATACTTTCTTGAAAAATAAGTTTGATTTCAGCTTGTGTTTAGAAAGCTTCTTTCACTAGAAAAAATTTTGGATATTTTTCTGTGTTAAAAACTTTAACCTGTTTGTTGCATTTTTATCTTTTTAACTACAATCTCATGCTGTAAAAATATTTGTAAATGTTGAATAGAACATGAATACTCTGACTTTGTGTTGTTCTTGTATAGGGTAATGCTTCCAAACTGGTTTATACTCCACTGACAGACAAGTGCTACTTAACTCTCACTCAAGCCATGAAGATGGGACTTGGAGGAAATCCTTATGGACCAGCTGGAACTGGGAAAACGGAATCAGTAAAGGCTTTAGGTGGACTTCTTGGAAGACAAGTTTTAGTCTTTAATTGTGATGAGGTAGAATAAATAATTATCAAAATATGTAACAATGGGTTAATCATATTTAGATTAGTTTCTATTAGTATATGAAATACTCTACTTAAAAATCACTACATTTAAATTAGTTGAAGACAGAATTTGTTTAAATTGAAATGTAAAATGGACAGAGGTTGTACGTAGTATAGTCCAAAACTTTTCTAAGAATTATGGCAAAGAAATAATTTTAAATACAGAATGAAGATTTATATTACATTGAAGAAAAATGTTTTTAGTAAAGAGAATAATACAAAAGGAAAAATCTTCTGTTCATTTCAGATGACAGTTTTAAAAACATTTTGTATGTAATTTGTATTTTGACTTAAAGAGTAACTAACACAAATCTTGTATTTTTTCTGCAAGCTTTTTAGAACACTTTCACATGCATTATTTTGTTTATCCCTTGAAATCAACCTGGGTTTTGAAAGAGTAGCTACTTAATCCGTATTTTAAAATGAGCAAAAGAGGCATAGATGGGATAAATTATCACCTTATCAATAAGTAACATTAAATATTAAGTAGTTATGGAGATTTTGATTATTTTTTAATGACTATAATTTTTATTGTTGTTTTTAAGGGCATCGATGTGAAGTCAATGGGACGAATATTTGTTGGTTTGGTGAAGTGTGGGGCCTGGGGTTGTTTTGATGAATTTAATAGGCTGGAAGAATCTGTACTGTCAGCAGTTTCTATGCAAATCCAGACAATTCAAGATGCTTTGAAGAATCATAGAACTGTATGTGAACTGCTTGGCAAGGAGGTATAGAATATGTTGGGAATTTAAAGAATTAAAATATTTTGTAAGACTTGATATTACTCATACTTAAGCAATATTCTCTTTTTATTTCTCCTGACATCCGTGTTTCTAATCTGTAACCTGTGTTGTAAGATTTTTTTAGCTATAAAACGTTTCTGAGGTTTCTTACCCTTTTTTGGTCCTACTTTCATTATTCTTTTTTTTTGGGGGACAGAGTTTTGCTCTTGTTGCCCAGGCTGGAGTGCAGTGGTGTGATCTTGGCTCACTGCCACCTCTGCCTCCCAGGTTCAAGCGATTCTCCTGCCTTAGCCTCCTGAATAGCTGGGATTACAGGTGCCCGCCACCACGCCCAGCTAATTTTTGTATTTTTAGTAGAGATAGGGTTTGATCATGTTGGCTAGGCTGGTATTGAACTCCTGACCTCAGGTGATCCACCCCCCTCGGCCTCCCAAAATGCTGGGATTACTGGTGTGAGCCCCACACCCAGCCCATTATTCATTTTTAAACTTTCCATTTTGGATAATTCAGTTATAATAATATTTATATTGTTGTATTATATATTATTCTATTGTCTGTGCTGACATTGTTCACAGTGCCTTAATGTATTGTCTCATTTAATAATTACCACAACCCTTTGAAGTAGGTGCTATTATTTTTTTCCCTGCTTTGTGGCTGAAGAAACTAGGACTTGATAAGTAAGAGTAAGAAGTGGAGCTAGGAATTGAACCCAGGTCTGTCTAATTCTGAAGCACATTTTTTTTTGTTTAACCTTCAAGCATAGGAGCAGAATGAAGCACATGTTTTTGATCATTATTCTATATGAATGTTAAAACAACAAACACTTAGCTATTTTGTTCCTCACTTCTCCAAATAGGAGATATACATTAATGTCACTAGAATATAAATTCGTTTGTACAGAAAACGTAAACTTTTTTATATAATGTGGATTGCTGAATACAGGAAGTTGTAAGAACTAAGAAATTATCATGTTATATAAAATAACATTTTAACAGTACATAGTTTTCTAGGTAGCCCAAGAATGTAAGACCAGTTCTAAATTGTTAACATGTTGTTTATGTGATGTTTAAACTCTTCACAAAGAAAAAGAGAAGAAACTATTAAGTGAGAATTACCTGCCTTCAAGATTTAGTTTCTTCTACATTCACTTTTTTTTCTTCTCTTACAAAGAAAGAGTTGTCTTTTCTCCCAACCAGTACTAATCTTTTCACCTGTACTTTGGAATCCTCTTCCCTGGGACCTTATTATCCCTTGTGCTATAGCTTCAGTCTTCCCTCCTCTACCAATTCCTCATTAGGTTTTAAACATAATCACATCTTTTTCATCTTAATAATAACTAAAACATAAACAAACCTTCCCTGATTTATATTTCTTCTTTCTCTTTTCTTTCCTTTGTAGCTAGATTTCTTGGTTTTTCTACTCTAGATGCTTCTACTTACTAATTGCCCATTCATTATTTACACATTCTAATTTAGCTTCTATTCTTAGGGTTTTGCTGAAAATCCTCCTACTAAGTGCTGTTATCACATTCAGTTCTTCCCTGTCATAATATTTATTACACTATGATTGCCTCTCTGTAATACCAGATAGACTCTGAGCTCCAGAGTGGCTTAAAGTATTATTTAGTTCAGTTGTCTCTGTGTACTTAACAAAGTGTTTAGTACTAAGAAGGCTTTTAGTAAACATATATTTAATGTATAAATAGATAATGAAATTAGTATCTCTTAAACATTCAGCCTCAAAAAACTGATTGTAAATAAACTCTGCAAAGCAGTGTAGGTCTTAAGGAATTTATCATATATTGAGTAAGGAGATGGTTAGTACATTGGAGGTTACCTTTACCTAAGGTATAAGATTTATGTGTAGTAATATGTCACAATAAAATTCTGTTGGCAGCATATTTTATGTTTATAGTTTCAAATATAAACGATGCCTATATGTTAAATATTTTAACTTAATATTTAATATTTAAATTAATATTTTTAATTAATATTTCAGGTAGAAGTAAATTCTAATTCTGGAATTTTTATCACTATGAATCCTGCTGGAAAAGGTTATGGAGGAAGACAAAAACTGCCTGATAATCTTAAACAGCTTTTCAGGCCCGTAGCTATGTCTCATCCAGACAATGAGCTTATTGCAGAAGTTATTCTCTATTCGGAAGGCTTTAAAGACGCTAAAGTATTGAGCAGAAAATTGGTAGCTATTTTCAATCTATCTAGGTGAGTTTTCTTGTTCTAAATATTTTTATATTTTACATTTCTAATGATTGATTTTGGTTATTAGTGATCATTTTCATATTTTCTCAATTCACCTATTGCATGATTTTTATTCTGATGATTTTATTGTACTTATAGTGTAGCTATGAAAGGCTTTAGCATGCACATAAAAATATTGGTTCAAAACTACTTGCTTTTCTTAAATATTATTAATTTGATCAGTTTTTTTTCTTCAAAATGTTTATATTAGAGTGCTTCAGCTAAATGATTCTTACTGAACTAATTTATCAGCTGACCACTCACAAACTACTGTTCTTTGGAAAGAATCCTTCACAATTTTTCTTATGTCTTATTTCTAGTAATAGAAACTGACATTTAGCTTCTTTGGGACAATGTACAATTCTCTTCCATATCACTTAAGAGATAATGGTGAACTAGACAGTGTCAGAGATTGAGAGCAAGATGGATTGATTAAAGGCTTTAGGCATTAGGGTAACAGGTAATTGTCATTTGGTGTCTTCATTAAGATAATTAGCTTGTTCATAAAAGCTTTATCCTACCCTTGAGAACCGTCCATCTTTAACAGCTTACTTGAATGATTATTTTGTGTGGTTGCTTCCCTTATATAAATTAATGGGATATCAACATTCATTTCTATGTGTCAGTGTTATATTCTGTATTTCTTTGGATGTTATGATGAAAGTAATTTCTTCTAGCTATTTGATGTGTTGATTTCCATGTCTCTATTTCAGGGAACTTTTGACACCTCAGCAACATTATGATTGGGGTTTGAGAGCTTTGAAGACAGTTCTGAGAGGAAGTGGAAATCTCCTTAGACAGCTAAACAAAAGTGGCACTACACAGAATGGTATGATTGATTATTCCAAATACATTAACTTATTTTTAAAAACATAAGCGTTAATTTAGAATAGTTTGAGATTTACAGAAAAGTTGTAGATACAATATTAAGGATTACTGTATACCCTGCCCCAATTTCTACTGTTGTTAACATCTTTCATTAGTGTGGTATATTTGTCACAACTAATGAATCAACTTTGATACATTGTTTTTAAACTAAATTTCCTACTTTATTCAGGTTTTCTCCAGTTTTTACCTGACGTCTTATAACTTTTAATGTGTGTTAAATATTAAATAGTTGTAATATGTAAAGTCCACTTGTTCTTTAACTTCAATGTCCATTGGAATCACCCAGTGGCTTGTTAAAACAGATTATTAGACCCCACCCCCAAAGGTCCTGATTCAGTAGGTGTAGAGTAGAGCCTGATAATTTGTCTTGTCTTGAAACAAGAACAGAAACCTTAGAAACACATGTAGGATTTTCTCTTTCTAAAGCTAGTATATTATGATTAGACTAGGTTATAAATGTTTGGAAAGAATACCGCAGAGGTGGAGTGTCTTTCTTACTGCGTCATATCAGTGGGTATATAACAACCATATGACATCACTAGTTATGTTAACCTTCATCACCTGGCTATGGTAGTGTTGCCAGGTTTCTCCAATGTGAAGTTATTTTCTACCCTCCTGGCTTTATTCTTTGGAATCATGTTAATAAATCTAGCTTACTCTCAGAGTGGCAAGGAAAGGATTAAGCTCCACTCCTTGCGGGGTTTGGGGGGGTGGGGTGGGGTGGGGGGTAGTATCTTCATATATTATTTGAAATTCTTCTGTAATGAAGATTTATCTTTTCTGCCTCATTTATGTATTCATTAACTCATTTATTTAGCTCAATACAGACTCATATATATGTGCTATACTTTCCTCATATAAAAAAATGGTTTTTTATTCACATAAAAATAATGATTTCCCCCACCTGTGGAGGTATACGTTCATGAAAGGCTGAATAATCAGTTTCTTCAGGTTGCTATTGAAAACTAAGTTAAAACACTATGAAAGTAGAGACAACATAGAAAAAAGGACCACATGAAATTACCTCTTTGGACTTTAAATGATCAAAGTGTGTCTCTTAAAAATGGCATCTACATTAGCTGTATTATTAGGTTGGCGTATGCCTGGGTAGATATAGTTATTTTGTGAGTGTTTATGTTACTATTTTTTAATTGTCTATATTTGGTGATTTTTAAGAAATATTTAAACCATACCTGTAATAAGTAAAGATGGCTTATGAGTTCAGTGCTTGAAATAAGCTTTAGAGAAGTCCAGACTTTTTATGTGTACTTAAGCATGGAAATATTAAGCAATTATAGAGGAAATGCCAGGCAAATAGTTTCTTTGACTTTATGTATCTTACCAATCAGCAGCTAATATCTGTGAAAATAAGAGTCTGGCAGTGGTATCAGTATTTGCATTTGGCTTAAGAATGGGTTTGTGAACCAAATTTGAACAAGGCTGATCAAAGATTGTTGCGCAGTTTGTTAGTTGTTTATCTTAGGACATAAACTGTGAGACGATATTGGTATATTTGGAGAGGCACCTGAATTTAGAATTAGTTTATCTGGAATTGAATCTTAGCTGTAATATTGCTGTGCCTTTTCTGAAAGTCACTTAAACCTTCAGAGACTTAACATTCTCATGTGTAAAATTGGAATAACAATAGTAATACTTTTTAACCTACTTTATAGGGTTGTTAAAAGGATTACATCATATAATATAAAAGGTGAAGTACTATGCAAATATTAGTGATAATGATTTTTATTATTAATTAAAGTCTTGGTACCCTGTGATCTGAATTCTATGGGAAAGAGTTTATAACTGTACTTAGTGATATTTACTTTTTAGCAGTCAAAAGATATTAAAGTAAGCTTGCCAATTCATGTGATGTAATGTCTTTAAATGTTACTAAATTCTAGTGCATTTAATGATTAATAATGCATATCAAGGCTATAGAATATTTAAAAACTTTTTTCATCATTAAAGTAATAATAAATAATTTTAAAATGAAACTTTTTTCTAGCTAATGAAAGTCATATTGTGGTACAAGCACTGAGGCTTAATACCATGTCAAAGTTTACGTTTACTGATTGCACCCGGTTTGATGCACTGATAAAAGATGTCTTTCCGGGAATTGAATTGAAAGAAGTGGAATATGATGAACTAAGTGCTGCATTAAAGCAGGTCTTTGAAGAGGCCAATTATGAAATTATACCCAATCAGGTAACTGTCAAGAATATTTTATAATAGATTGATCCCTTTTCCTAGTTGATTCCTTATTAACTATCCTTGTCCTTCATCTTTCAACTTATCTTTTATCTTTCAACTTAGATCTCACTTGCTCAGGGAAGTCTTCCCAGATCTTCAAGTCCTGATTTGATCTTCTTGCTGTGTGCTCTTATCAAATATTCTTGTTTCATGTTTGTGTGTTTAATATTGATTCTCCTCCACCATAAAGTAATCTCCGTGAAAGGCAGGATCCATGTATATATATATTTTATTTTTATTTTTTGAGACAGAGTCTTGCTTTGTCGCCCAGGCTGGAGTGCGGTGGTGTGATCTCGGCCCACAGCAACCTCTGCCTCCCAGGTTCAAACAATTCTCCTGCCTCAGCCTCCTGAATAGCTGGGATTACAGGTGCACACCACCACACCTGGCTAATTTTTATATTTTTAGTAGAGATGGCATTTCACCATGTTGGCCAGGCTGGTCTCGAACTCTTGACCTCAGGTGATCTGCCCACCTTGGTCTCCCAAAGCACTGGGATTACAGGCCTGAGCCACCGCATCTGGCCATCCATATATATTTTTGCTCACCATTTCATTTCTATTGCCTGTTATAGTACCTAATGTGTAATGGATTCATCATTTTTTTATAATTGATTATATATATGATTTAGTTTCATTTTGATAATTTATTAGGATTTTAAGTGAGTCTCTTTATGTAGTGCAAATAATTGTCCAAAATTAGCACTTTGCCCTCAGTTTTGGAGAGAAGTAAGATAAGAATGAATGAATGAATGAATAAGTGAATAAAATAATGAATATATTTGAATGAGTGAATGAGTGGAGCAAGTAACGAACATAATTGTTCATACAAGTTTTTTGAACTTGGAAACCTGGAAAGCACCTTTGTTTCTTTTAAAGAAATATTGAAGTATTTAAAGATTATATTGTAAATATGTTCAGATTTATTTAGGTAGTCTATTACATTTTAGGCAATACCTTCCACTGAAGAAATCAAAGGCTTAATTTACACATTAGAACAAGTGTTACAGAATAAAAGCAGAACTAAGTATGATTGAATATTATAAATCATATATGAACATATTTCTTTCCTACTAGATCAAAAAGGCTTTAGAATTGTATGAACAGTTATGCCAGAGGATGGGAGTTGTTATTGTTGGTCCAAGTGGTGCTGGAAAATCAACGCTTTGGAGAATGTTAAGGGCTGCGCTTTGTAAAACTGGCAAAGTAGTGAAACAATATACTATGAATCCCAAAGCTATGCCTCGATATCAATTATTAGGCCATATTGACATGGACACAAGAGAATGGTCTGATGGTGTTTTGACAAATAGTGCTCGTCAAGTGGTTCGGGAACCTCAAGGTTAGTCTCTATGTATACTTCTTTGCTTTACTTAGTAATTCTTAGATAATGATATAATTTGTCTATAATGCTGTCTTTGTCAAGACTTCTACATGACCATAAAGTCATAATTAAGTTAAAATGATGTACATTTGATATTTTACTTTGGAGGGGGCCAAGACATGCTATCATTTTCAGTTAAACTCTGTAACTATTTTTAATATAATAGAAACTTAGAGTAAGTTGGGTGAATTGTAATTCACAACTAGATTAATTTACTGAATGAATATAAAATCTTTGCTGAGTTGATATTATACTGCCTCAGAAATAAACAAGATGACAGATTTTTGTTTGGGGTTAAAATTGGTGTGTATGAACAGTATTAACTCATTAGTTTGAATAAAGTATTTTGAATACTTTTGAAAATTTAAGTGGTAAAACTGCGGATTTCCTGGTCTAAATTTGTTGACTTGGTTTTTTAAGAGAATTTTTGGCTGGAATCAGAGGAGACTCCCTACTTTTTGCCAGGTTATAATTTAATTAATAATTATTTTTCTAAGGCAGTAAGTGAAAGCATTGGAAGGGATTTTCAATGTAGTCTTTTCTTTTTCTATATAATACCACATTAAGTAAAGGCCAGTTATTACCTTCATGTATTTCTAACACTTTTATCAGTGAAATTTTCCTCTTTGAATTGTTTCAAAGGTCCAAGTACAGTATTAACCACTCCCATTTTAGGAAAGATGGATAAAAAAGGTTTTATCCTGGAAAGACTATGTATACAATTGGTCACTATTTTTCCCCCTTTGAGGTCACCTTTTTATATGTCAAGAAAATTTGACAGTGGTGAATTTTTTATTTCTCATGCAGGGAACTGGAAATTGGATTTTCTGTAGTTTCTAAAAGATATACAACAGAGCAAGCCTTCGTACATTCTCATAACATAGTAGAAGACAAAAGTCTGAAGAATATCTTGTGGGAATAAAAATACCTAAGCCTTGCATTTTTTTTAGTGAAATTGCCTATTTTGTATGTTTATAGATAAAGTATTATTACATGATATATATCTGAGTCTTTGGCCAGCTGAGCCAGGATTGCGCATGGGTTCTTCAGCATATTTGTAGTACAAATTCATATGAAAATTAAGAATTGTTTTAGTCCTTATTTTTAATTATTATCACTGCATATATTTTTATTTTGTCTCCACTGTTTTGATTTGAAAATAGATGTCAGCTCATGGATAATCTGTGATGGTGATATTGACCCTGAATGGATAGAATCTCTGAATTCTGTTCTGGATGATAATCGACTGCTGACTATGCCCAGTGGAGAAAGGATTCAGTTTGGCCCAAATGTTAACTTTGTATTTGAAACTCATGATTTAAGTTGTGCATCACCAGCCACAATATCTAGAATGGGAATGATCTTTCTTAGGTAAGCCATAGATTATTTATATACAGTATATTAGAATATTCTTTTACTGTCCTGGTTTCATATTAAGTAAAATAAGTGTAGTGTGAATAATGAATACATATTTTTCCCATTTATGATTAACTTCTTTTTTGTTAGGTTTTAATTAATTCAGAGAGTTCCTGTTTTATTACAAAATTGAATTATTTTAGGAGTTTTAGTTGTATCACAATTATGAAATAATTATTTGTTTAAATGAAACAGCAAGAAAATTTGGTCTGTTTATTATTTTGTTGAAATATTGTGACTGATTTCAGAGAAGTGAACATATTAATTATGAGCTAATATGAGCTAATATTATGAGCTAATAATTTAAAGCTGAGTAGCAATATTTTAATTTTAGAATTTAATTAATTAAATCTATTTAATTTTAGATTCACAGAATTTTAGGGCTAATTCAGGTTTATTAGGTCCAATGACCCAGTCTTTTCATTTTACAAATTGAACACCTCTTTACTTAATATTTTTTTTCTTCTTCAGTATATTTGGAAGAGGCTTAAAGACTGAAAGTGAATAATAAACCAATTTTAGATATCATGTAAAATAGTCACATACCAGAGCATGGACATTTGCACCAATTTTATTTTTGAAAATCAGTAATATTTTGGCATAAGTAAGAAACTTTTATTTTACTTTTCCAATTTTTATTTATCATACTGTAGCATTTTATTTTTTTTAGTACCATTTAAAGTCATTTTAGGTGTTGTATGACATATGACAATGTAATAAAGTTGATTCAAATCATGTTTTGAAATTATTTAGTTGTTTACTTTTTTGACAGTATTGTAGGAAACATTTACTTTAAATTAGCCAGAAGCTTCAATTGATATTTTGAGGTATTATTAAAAGATAATATAATTTTGGGTTTACTGCTTTCATAGCAGCATTTGCACACAATTTATCATATTTATTAATTGTGTTATAATCTTGTGAGAAAAATAGAATAAAGGTAAGTTTTTAGTTAAATTTTAAAGTACTTGTTAAATATTATATATATGGTATTAAATTACGCACCTGAGGAGAGAGAGAGCTAGAAAGGAGTAAAACTGTTTGTAGAGAGCTTATCTTTTTGGAAAATACTTTCACATAGAGGAGGCAAATTTATACAATTTATACAAGTGGAATATAAGTGAACTAAGCAGTAAGTAGAATACTATTAATATTTAGCAGAAAATAAGACATTGCTTTAGAGGAGTTGAAAATTGTTGGTGAATCAGGTATTGTTTGTGAAAGGCATAATGAATGTATATGATTTCATGTAAAATACAAATACATATTAACTTTTTTTGTTGCTATGTGTTCAGCTTATATCTTAGTTTTAGGTTTCCTTTATTCCTTTAGCAGATATTTGTTGAGCACTTGCTATGTAATAGGCCAAATGTGGACCTTTTAATACTGAAATAAATGTTATTATTAATGATTCTGGGACAACTGGTATGAAGCAGTGTTGTATTGGATAAACCAAGACATGTAGTCTCATAGACATTGAGAAAATACCATTGGTAAGAAACTCTTTATTCTGAAGGAGCTTAGCATCTTTGGTTGGCCTACTTTGGGCTAATCTAATGTTATATAATTATTAACCTCTTTGATATTTCAATTTTTTTCATATTAGACTGGATAGAAAATGTGAGAGCAGAGATTCAAGGCATCAGTGTCATTTATTAATTTGCTATGAAACAATGGTGGAAGATAGGAAAAAATGACAAAAATCGTGAGGTCTTGTCAATTCTAAAATAATATGAATTATTTTTACTATAGTTTTTTATAATTATATAAGGTATAATTTTGAATAAGATGTGAATCTCTATTATTTCACCAATTGGATTTTGGTGAAATAATTGAATTTTACCCAGATAATTATGTGCTTTGCTAAAGGAATTATAGTTTGCTTTAGGAAGATCTTTAAATTTTAATAGTGGCATGGGAATTTAGGTAGTTGGATTTTTATAGGATAGAGAAAAAGTGTTTCTAAAGATCTGTATTACAGTTTAGATCAGTGCATTTTAAACTCTAATGTGCATTTGAATCATCAAGGGGTCTTATTAAAATGAAGATTTTTGCTTTAGTATGTCTGGAGAGGGATTTGGGATTTTACATTTCTAACAGACCACTCTGAGTAGGAATGGTTGAGACCACTTTAGGCTATGTAGAGCCTATGTAGAGTAGGTTGTGTAGATATATAATTCTCGTTTAGTTTATATTTATAATAAAATAGATGAAATGTATTTGTTTTATAGAAAATGACATATATATGTATATATACCTATATGCATGTGTGTTTGTATATATTATGTGTATGTATACACACACACAGATGTAATTGTATTATTCACACATACTCATAGTAAAGTAACTAAAGCCACCTTTTGTATGCTAGCAGACAAAATATGTGCGTAGAATAATGTTTATTGGAGAAGAAATTTATTTTAATGTAAATTGATAATTTCTTCCTAAGTAATTTTTTATTTGTCTAAACTGTTTCAGTGATGAAGAGACAGATCTTAATTCTCTGATAAAATCTTGGTTGAGGAATCAGCCTGCTGAATATAGAAATAATCTTGAAAATTGGATTGGAGATTATTTTGAAAAGGCTTTACAATGGGTTCTAAAGCAGGTAAATTAACCATAATATTTCATAATTAATCGAGGTGAGAAGTATGATTAAGAGTGATGCTTATTTTAACTTCCTTGTGGTAGAACTCTGCTGGAATGTGGGTGTGAGGTGAGAGGTGGATTTTGTCACTGCTACTCCTCTGTATCTCTTAGCATAACTGTTATATCTCTTATCATAACTTTTTATTTTGTTAGTCTTAAAACATTTTACTTCTTTCATTCATAATACTTTACACTGCTTACCTAACAATCTTGATTACTAGAATGTCTTTCTAATTTTTACTAGCAAAAACCATCTTGCTGCCACTTTTTACTGATATGCCAGTAAATACCTATATATATGACATATGTATATATAATATATAGGTATTTATATACCTATATATACACCTATATATACACACCTATATATACCAATAAATACCTATATATATGTCACATATATATGATATATATAAGGTTAAAAACAATATGAAGTTAGCACTAAACTAGAAAAGGGATGGTGAGTTATTTGCAATAATGAAAACGTGTTTATATTTAACAAAAACATTGAATATCTAATATATGTGAAGCATAATACAAGAGAGACTTTGAGAGGTGAAGATTAACAAGGTAATTCCTTTCCTTGAGAAGGGTTTATCTAATGGAGAAAAATGACATGCAAACAGATAACCACAATTTAGCAGGATGAAGAGAATATTGCTGTCATTTAGAAGAGGTTTAAAAGGAGATCACATTTGATTTTGGATTTGAAATGTGAAAAAAGTTTAGCATGCAAAGAAGACCGTGGAGGGTGTTCAGATATTCTACATGTTTATGCCATTGCTTTTATGAAAAATGAAAACATATACAAAATAGAGGATATAAATAGCAGTGAGTTTTTTGAAAGTATCTGATTGTGATTGTGAATCTGAACTTGATTTAGAGTTCAATACTTTAGGATTGAACAAGATATAGAGAAATGAAGATTTGTTTTCGTTTTCTCAAACTTTTTCTTTTCTGACTTTGTAAGAATGAAAAATGGAGGAATAGGGATTTGTGAGGATAGCGATGCAAGTGAGGTGGGTTTTCCTGGAGGCCTAGGAAAGGGAACACTCCCATTAGCTCCTAGTCTGACTGAGCTGTCTCCTCCTTTGTGCTTCTGTAGCAACATACAGCATCTACCAACTATGTTATAATTGTCTGTTTACATTAAACTATAAGCACCTTGAAGGCAAGGACCAAGCTTATCACACTCTTCATTGTGTCCTCAGAACCAAGTATGATATTAAGTGATAGCAAATGAATGATAGTATTGTGCTTAATTATATACCTGATGCCTACATTGTGACACCTTTTCAGTAGATATGTTATTTCATTAGTACAAAACATTCAGAGCCTAACAAGGCTTTCCAATGCAGATACTTTGAGGTAATCTGCTCATAGATGTGTGAATGTTATAATAGGAGTATCGTATTAGATGGAATATATTTATGTATATATAGGGGTTTATGACTGTAGAAATGACGACAGGATAAGATTGTTAAACAATAGAGTGAATACCAAAGATTCAGTTAGGAAAAAAAATGGTTTATGTTTTGAGGTCACACCGCTGTTTGTTTGTTTGTTTTATTTAATGTGTTAAGGGTTCTTTTCTTTTTATCCTGTATTTTGTTCACCATGCACAGGTTCTGAGGTATACCACAATGAATTCTCTAGTCAAATGCTGAAATTGTATTTATAACTAGAACTTTGCTTTCTTCTTTTTTCTCTTCCTCAGCCTATGGGATAAATCTTTGCTTTCTTGTATGAATTCAGCAAATAAGAAAATATAGAAGAAAATATGTACATTTCCTTTATCTCACCTTTAAAATCTGGAACTCTCAGTATGAGTCTGTCTAGATTTCTTTCTTTCTTCTCCTTTCTTCCTGCTCTTCCTCCTATTTCTTCTTTCTCACAAAAATATTAATTTTTTTAAGCACAGCGATGTTTTTAAAATGTAAACTGGGTAATTTTACTCTATTATAAAAAACATGTTAAAGACAAGGAAAATAAGGATTGTATTCCTTACCATGTCTGATAAATTCTGCACTCTGGCCCTTGCCTATTTCTCTGACTTAAAACACTGTTTCCTTGCTTACTTAGGCATAACTTCTTTTAATTCCTTAACAGTGCTAAGTTTTTCTTTGCATGTGCTCTATTCTCTGCATAAGCAGATAGATCTCATCCTTCAGTCTTAGCTTAAATGTCACCTTTTTTTAAAGAAGCCGTGAGCCCTCAATCTGAGTTACTGTTTCCCACAACATTCTGTACTGCTGTAGCTCTTACCACAATTTGTTAACCATTTCCTGTGCTATGCTTGAGCTCCATGAAGACAGGGACCCTGTTTATTCCAGCTTTTAACAAAACAAAGCAAAAACAAACCTGGCACCACATACAGATCCTAATGCATGATTGGTTCTCCGTAAATATTTATAGAAAGACTGAGAGCCATTTTTTCTTTAACTCTCTGGCACTTACCAGGGACCCCAGGGAGGCTTACAGATCAAAGCATCTACACAGCACTGAAGTCCAGAAGTTTCATTTAAAAATTCTTTCAGAGAAAGCTCCATGTGGTTTGTCATTTATGCCTGCTTTTTCTAACGTTTCTTTTCTAGTGCCATCAATCTAGCTCTTGGCTCTTGTATTCTTTTTATCAGCAAGAGGAAATGAACATGTATTCTTTTTGGAACAATGCTCCCTAACTTACCTTTTCTTTTATATTCTTCAGGTTTAGGAAGTAAATAAACTGTATCTATTTGAGGACTGTAGCACTGAAAGCTAGAAATATATGATTGTACTTTCATGATTACTTTTTATTTTCAAAGTATATATAAAAATTGAATGAAATCCAAACTTTCTACAGTTTGAATAGAGGAGTGAGTTTAAAAATGGTTCTTGAAAAGGTATGTGAACATCAGTCTGTATGGTTCTATGTTTACTGGTTAATAGTTGCCTTTTGTCTGTTTGTATCACGGATTTTAATCAACAGAATGACTATGTGGTAGAAACAAGTTTGGTTGGGACTGTGATGAATGGTTTGTCACATCTACATGGTTGCAGAGATCATGACGAATTCATTATTAATCTCATAAGGGGACTTGGTGGAAATCTGAATATGAAGTCACGTTTGGAATTTACCAAAGAGGTAATGCATATTTATAGCCTATATTTAGTCAAAACTTTAACTTTTCATTAACTCTTAACTGCCAAAACACAATGATTTGTAACTGTAAGATATGGAACTTTTAAAATTTGAAATTATGTATTCAATTGAGTAATAATGTATTTATGTATGTGTATTTATATTTTCTCCTTTGAGTTATTTTATGATGTTTGATAATATTATTAACATTTTATAAAATAATGTTTTATAAGTTAAAGTTTGGACCATATCTTTTTTAAGTTAGACATTTTTGAACCTACTTGTCTACATTAATAATTATTTCATTCATTTAAAAATCTTAGAATAGTTTAGTTTTTATCATCCTTTTAACTAGAGCAGTTTTAGGAATTGGGAATATTAGGATGAATTAATTATTAATAAATATTTTCTTTAATATATGTTAAAGTTGTATTACAGTCAAGTTGTTTATAAAGCTGAATTCTAAATAATAAGTGATTTTTTTTCCAATTGACCTCTACTGAAATTATTGGACATTTATTCCTTTGGGTTGGCTCTAACATTAACAGCTTTTTTTTCTCATTTTGCTGCTTCTTTGATAGTGTCATTTACTGCTTTCTCTATTCCGTCTCCCTTTCCATGGCTGTCCTGTTGCCTCTGTTGCCAGATGCTTCTCATTGTTACCACTCAGTGACATACTATATGCTGCTTTTAAGCACATACTCTCTTGTCAAAGTTCCGAATAAATGTATTGAAGAATAGTATTAAGGGCTAACTCTGCTTTATATATGCATAGATAACAGTTTTCAGTATTAAAAAGAAGAATAACAGGTGGAGAGCAGTGGTAGTGACACTGTGATGGACAGTACCAGGATATGGCAGAAATGAAGGGCTTTAGGATTTCTGCATTCTGTACTTTGTGATTTAATGTTAATAAGAACTCCATTAAAATGGAATATATTTATACCTTAGTGTATAAATAAATATCCACTATGTCATTATCTCCTATATATACTTTAATTTACTTGCATAAATGATCATTTAGAGAAAAATATTTGAGATAAAATGTTACATTAATGATAAAATAGGTTTAGTTTATGTAAAGTTTTCTTGGAACTAAGATGATTTACTTTTGGGATATTTACTTGGAAGAATTTTAAAATGTCACACACTCTGGAGTATGTGAAAACTTATCACAATTTTTTCCTCTTAAGGTTTTTCATTGGGCACGAGAATCTCCTCCAGACTTTCACAAACCTATGGATACCTACTATGACTCTACTAGGGGTCGATTAGCAACATATGTGCTTAAGAAGCCAGAAGACTTGACTGCTGATGATTTCAGTAACGGCTTAACTCTTCCAGTCATTCAGACTCCTGACATGCAACGAGGTCTAGATTATTTCAAACCATGGTTAAGTTCTGATACTAAACAGCCCTTTATTCTGGTAGGACCAGAAGGATGTGGCAAAGGGTAAGAAAAATATTGGCAAAGGTATATGTTGTGGATTTATTCCTGCCGCCCCTAATTGATTTAATGGCTTTTGTTATGTTTCTTTTGGTTAAAGTAGCATTTACATTTTCATGGAAGATTCATTTTATTTTCATTACTTATAAAAATAAGAACTATGGGGAATAGTGTGTCCTTTTCTTTTCCAGGTTGTGTGATTTCTACTGGAAAGACAGCAATCTGAGAAGATACTCTTAAAAATTATCCGTCCATATAATACAGCAAAAAAAAAAAAAAGAATGCCTTATATATACTCACACACCATTTGCTTTAGTTATAAAATTTAAAATTTGAAGTTAGATCTCTATTTAAAAGTAGCTTTTAATTCAGTGGAATTCAGCCTAGTTTTAGTTCATATGGAGCATAGTCTCCTGAAATATAGGAACCATGGTTTATTATTTTCATATTTCTAGTAGGGGAGTAGTAATTTTAAAAATTGTATAAAATCATAGTAATTTTTTTAAACTCATGGAACTTAAAATCTTAAAATCCTTCAACTGTGGGGAAACAGGGTTGGTATATTTGACATGTACTTTATCAAACTAGATTAATTCTGAGAACTTTGATTTTTTTGGCTGAAAACAGTCCTCACAATGCCTTAAAACATGAATTTATGTTTTTCTAGTCTAAAAGAAAGTTGCTTTGATAGTTATGGAAGCCATATCTGTATTTACCATTTTTCCTATCATCATATACATTTTAGAAACTGAAATATTTATGAGATAGAAATTTCTTATTGAGTATAAAATGTATTTTGTTGGTTGCATTTTTATCAAAGTCAGATGTCATGCATTTTTCGTAGGATGCTGCTCAGGTACGCATTTTCACAACTCCGGTCCACTCAAATTGCTACAGTTCACTGTAGTGCACAAACCACTTCTCGACATCTCCTGCAGAAACTGAGCCAGACTTGCATGGTAATCAGTACTAATACTGGTCGTGTATACAGACCAAAAGACTGTGAAAGACTTGTTCTGTACTTAAAAGATATCAACCTACCTAAACTTGATAAATGGGGGACCAGTACTTTGGTAGCATTCCTACAACAGGTAAGTCATATTGCTTGAAGTGTTTTAATCTAATTGGAAACAATTTAATTTCATTAACTTTTCTTAGAAAATATTCATTCTTCATTTGGGGCCAGTTTTATCTAGCATTTGTCATGGAAATTAAACTCCTGAAACACTTCAGTCTTGTTCCAGTTCTTCTGTGATTTTCCTTTCTTTAGAAGTTAGTATTACGTCAGGATAATACATGACAGGGAGAATAGAAACAGCCTTCACTCTACATCTATTACTTGTCCTTTATTCGTAAAACAAGGAGGAAAACAAAAGCTGGACATGGTGGTGGAGGTGGAGAAATTTTTGCTTCATGTTTTAAAGTATGCATTCTTCTCACTGCAGTTAGACTTGGTCATGTTTTTTTCTGGCTGCTTTAACCCATTATTCTCCATTTTTGCCTGTATAAGGATTTGAGATCACATATCCTGAATCAGTGTGGAATATATTTTTTCTTTATGTTATTTACATCACATTAGAAGCTATAAATTCTTAGAGTTTATTACGGTATAGGTCCAATTTTAGGCTTATTATGTAACTGCAGAATATGATAAAATATTTACAGAAAAAAACAAAAATATTTTTCTCATATTTTTCCTGATACTTTCATTTTCTAGGCTAATTGTACTCAATTTATAATATCATTGCATTTTAGTGTTTATTAGAGAGAAAAGCATTTTAAACAGTAGGATAATTTAGCTAACATTCATAGAACACAGAGATTTGAACAGTATTATTTTTCAGTGATATAATAATTTAAGATACCATTTAATCTAAAATTCTTGAGTTAGATAGATGATGATTGCATTTAGAAATAATTGAAACTTAGGCAAAAATATCCTTTATCATGATTAGGAAATCTTAGATAAAAAACGTTTAAAATATATTTATTTTCAAATAGGTATTGACGTATCAAGGATTTTATGATGAAAATTTGGAATGGGTTGGTCTAGAAAATATTCAAATTGTGGCTTCTATGTCAGCTGGAGGAAGACTGGGAAGACATAAACTTACTACCAGATTTACTTCCATCGTTCGTCTTTGTTCTATAGAGTATGTATCTTTGTGTTTCAGATTTTTTAATTTGGGAAGATATCATATATAAATGAATTTTATTTAAAGTATTTATGATAATACTTTAAAATTTAGAATATAAAAATGGTCAAACTTAACCTCTGATATTTTTTCCTACCCTTCTCAAAATATAGGCAATAATTTAGGATGATAAAAGCTTTAATCAAAGCATCTTATTTATGATATGTTTAACAGGAAATAAAACGAAACTGTTTTGTGTAGTCTGTGTTCCAAAATGTCAATCTCAGGAGTCTGAATGGTGGATTTTAGATTTAAATGTTTTATGCAGTTCATGAAACAAAAATACCATCAAATTTATGAAGATAACAAAAAGAGAATTTCAATCTGAACAAGGGAGAATTAGGGTCATTTTAATGGCTGGTGGCATCAATGCTAATCATCTCCACGGGCCATAATTACAGAGACTATGGCAATATCTCCTCTGTTTATATTTAATATACATTATATTACATTACAAATATTGAATATTACAAAACCTTATTTGTATACTTTTGTGCTAATTGTACTCCATCAATTAAACTTTTTTTTTTCTAGAAATATTCCTGCTGCCAGTTAAACCATATTGAAATACATTTTGGTTTGGGAGAAAGGGGTTGATTTTATTTGTTGTATTAGTTTTACTTTTATAGTTCTGAGGTGGATTACTGCCCTGTGTACAGACCTTATGTAACTCAAAAATGCTTTTCAAAAGTAAAATTTTCCTTTTGGTCTTTTCTGAAGATCAGTGATATGTTTTAACATAATTTCTTGGGGTTCTCTAACACCTTCTGGTATTTGACAATAGATATTTCGGGATCGAATTTGGTTGAAATGAGAATGGATCGGGGCGATGAGCCTAGTCTTAGCCCCCTGGGTAAGCTTTGGAGATATGTAGGTCTTAGAGCAGCACAGTTTCAAAACCACTGTTGTAACTTAACATTGAAATATTAATTTGGAATACTGATTTATTTCAGCTTTCTTCTTATATGCCATTTTTTTTAGTTACCCAGAAAGAGAGCAGTTACAAACGATTTATGGAGCATATTTGGAACCAGTTCTACATAAAAATCTGAAGAATCATTCTATTTGGGGTTCTTCATCAAAAATTTATCTTTTAGCAGGATCTATGGTACAAGTGTATGAACAGGTAGATATGCATCTAAATTGTAGCTTTCATGTCTATTAGTATCATTTCTAAAGGTCTACTTTTAATTCTGACCTCTGTGTTGACACCCAGGCTTTACTTTCCTGTTTATTAGACTTTTCTAGTAGAGAGTAACTGTGAAGACAGGTGCTGTGTGTGCCTTATTCACTGTTGTATCCATGGCACAGTTTCTAATAGGCACTCGATATTTGTTGAATGAATGCATTTGTGGTAGATGGTTATTCTGCTGTCAGCTCAAATTTTGCATATTTAGAATTGAGTTTATCTTCTTTCCCAAAACAGATCTTTTTCCTGACTTCTATCAGTTTGTGTCTTCCAGGCTTCAAACCTGCAAGCAGTCTTTGATGTTTCTTTCTTTCTTCCTGACTGTGAGGAAATGTCTAAAGTATTCTTCCTAGATAAAATGGGGAAGATACTTGAAAGTAGGCATTGAGGATACACAAAACATTTGTTGAGCACCTTTTCTTGCCAGTAGTAGTCCTAGGGATGTAAAGATGACTTAGTTTATTTTCACTGAATGTTCGCAGTCTAATGAGGGGCTGAGTCATATAAATAAGCTATTAATGCAGTGTAATAAATGTAGCAATAACAGTATGTCTAACTTACAGAGATAGCACAGAGGAGGAGTAAATAACTTTGTTGTATATGGTAGTTGTTAAGGAGGAGGTGAAGTTTGATCTGAGTTTTGAAAAATTAATAGAAATTCACCAAGTTGCTGGAGGTGAAAGAATGTCTTCTTAGATAAAGGGAATAGCGTGTACAAGTTATAGACATGTTTGTGGAAGATGCTTTTTATAATATTGGAGTAGAAGTGGGGATAGGTAAGTTTAAAAGCAAGAAATTCCTTTTTTTAAAAAAATAAAGATGTTAAGTAATCAAGATCAGAATAAGAGTAATGGCTCTGTCCATAGAGAGGAAGGGACAGGCATTTTACCGGTTGGTTGTATATTGAAGAGAGATACTTTGATTTGTTCAGTGACTTCTTGAACTTAAATTGTTTTAATGGTTCCCAGCATTAAAAAATGGGTCTTACCTAGACCTGTGAGTACCTTGGAATTGCAACCATCATATTTAAAGGTTAGGTTTGTTTTTATTGAATTCTTCTGTTCAGCAGGGCTTTTTAGCCTTTTTTTTTTTTTTTGGCCATCTGTTGAAGCCTATGAACCCTTCTTAGAATATATGTATATATATATATTTTTTTTCTTTTTCTTTTTTTTTTTTTTGAGATGGAGTCTCGCTTTGTCGCCCAGGTTGTAGTGCAGTGGCACAATCTCAGCTCACTGCAACCTCTGCCTCCTTGGTTCAAGTGATTCTTCTGCCTTAGCCTCTCAAGTAGCTGGGACTACAAGCATGTGCCACCATGCCCAGCCAATTTTTATATTTTTTTTAGAGACGGGGTTTTGCCATATTGGCCAGGCTGGTCTTGAACTGCTGACCTCGTGATCTGCCCCCACTCAGCCTCTGAAAGTGCTGGGATTATAGGCATGAGCAACTGCGCCCGACCAGAATGTTTTTAAGTGCATAAAATATAGTATAAAGATAATGAAGTCATTTATATTGAAATCCAGTTCCATCTACAGGTAGAAATTGGTATTCCTCTGAGTCTAAGGAGACTGAAAAATTTATAACATGATTATTATTTAAGGCAGTAGAAAGATTGTTTACTGTATTTTCTTTTTCAGGTGCGAGCCAAATTTACAGTTGATGATTATAGTCACTATTTCTTTACTCCTTGCATTCTTACCCAATGGGTTCTTGGCTTATTTAGATATGATTTAGAAGGAGGTGAGTTTTGCTAGTGTGTATCTTGTGTGTGTGTGTGTGTGTGCACATTTATTCTCTAGATTGTATTTGTAATAGATAAGTTAAATGCGTATTATATCACAAGTTATATTATTAAATAGAAATATTTTTATTAAAATTATTATATTTCTTCTTCCAAACTGTGTATGATTGTCACTATTAAAACTTCCTTTTGGGAAAAATGAAATCATTATATTTGAGGCAAAGCATATTTAGTATACTTTCTGGAATTATTTTTGTTGAACAACTAGAGATGATAGTATTTAATGTCATCTTTAAGTAATCACAAACATGTACCAACTTATTAACAAAATGAATTTTAACTTTTTTTCCTTTCTTCCATTTATCTGATGCCAAAATTATGGTATGTAGACACCTGCTATTTCTTTCTAATTTTATGTTAAACATATTATTTAAAAATCATTATATTACAATTAAATAAAATTTTGCCTTTTCTAGGATCCTCAAACCATCCACTAGATTATGTGTTAGAAATTGTAGCATATGAGGCACGGCGCTTATTTCGTGACAAAATTGTTGGTGCAAAGGAACTTCATTTATTTGACATCATTTTAACATCAGTGTTTCAAGGAGATTGGGGCTCAGACATATTAGACAATATGTCAGGTAAGGTAATAGAGCTTATGCAAATACATAACTATTACAAGGATTTCAGAAATTTTTTCTTACCCAGAGCATGATTTTATAGGTCTAAACAAATAAAAACTTTGAATAATTTTAATATTATTTTTCCGTAAGGTACAGCTCAGTCTTTTTTGCTGGATTTCAGTAATCATGTTTCAATCAAAATATAATGGCAATTATTTTTTTCTTAGAAAAAAGTTCAGGCCATACTGTTTTACATTGGCAATGCAAGATTATTTTAATAAAAGTTTTTTTTTGAAAAACAGTTACATGTATATAAAACATGAAGATCATTGGGAAAATTCATATTTGATTGTCATGACCTTTTGCCTAAGAGCAATGGCTATTCTTATTCCTGTCACTACGTATAATGTCATTAGCATAGAACTTACATATGCTTGTTACCATCTTCATCTATTGTTATTGTAAAGAAAGCTTAACACCAGTCAAAGCTGCTGTGTTGCATTTGCAACTATTACTGCTTAATAACCAATCTGCATTTTGAAAACTATCGTGGGAGTAATGTATGTAATATGAAAGTCATCCTTGTGAGAGGGCCTTTCATTAAAAGAAGATTGCAATATGGAAATATTTCCTAATAAAACTGCTGTCAGGCCACAAAAGGTGCTTATTTTTTCAGAGGATAAAGCTAGGCTTCAAAAATATTTTATATAATAAATACATTTTATACAATTACTTTTAATGGCAAAACCACAATTACTTCTGCACCAACATATACATTTAGTATATTGTACATTTCTAGATTTGATATTGGTCTGAGATCCATGAGTACCTATCCTAAAGGGAACTTCGAGGGTGGGAAAGATGTTTAGATTGACAGAAAGAATTTTCTAGGTGCTCCTGAGTTTTTGAATCAGGAAATGGGTTCAAGAGAAACTTCAAGAAGGATGAAATGCTGAGAGAAGCCTGATCATATTAATAGTTCAGAGTTTGCTTGACTTGGAGTGAGGGTTTATGTCATTATGACCTGTAGCTTGCATGGCTTAGTGTGGAGAAGCTTAGGTTCTTAAATGGTGCTATCTTTCTCAGTCTGAAAATTGAGTCAGTAGTGTCTCTTTTTGCAAAGAGTGGCATATCCTTTGGGCATAAGACAGTATTGGCACCTAATTGGGTGTCTGAATCCTCTGAAGAGTTTGGTATCTTTCACAGTCTCCTGTCTAAGACTCAATAAATAAAATATGTCTTTTTTTGTTATTTTTCTCTTCAGTGAAAGGTTTTCTTTTTCTTTTCTTTTTTCTTTTTCTTTTTTTTTTATTTTGAGACGGGTTTCATTCTTGTTGCCCAGGCTGGAGCGCAAAGGTGCAATCTCGGCCCACCGCAACCTCCGCCTCCCGGGTTTAACTGATTTTCCTGCCTCAGCCTCCCGAGTAGCTGGTATTACAGGCATGTGCCACCACGCCCGACTAATTTTGTATTTTTTTTTTAGTAGAGACAGGGCTTCTCCATGTTGGTCAGGCTGGTCTCAAACTCCTGAACTCAGGTGATCTGCCCGCCTTGGCCTCCCAAGGTGCTGGGATTAGCTGTAAGCCACCACACCCAGCCAGATTTTCTTTTTTAAAAATACAGTTTTGACATATATTAGATCTAGGCATATAGGATTTTCACATATTGAAAGATAAGCTTATTAAGAAAAATTTAATCTTGGAGACATAAAAATAAACTAGATACATTCTTGTCCTTAAGAAGATTGTAATCTAATGACAGAAACAGATATAAAAATCTTTGCTTACAATGATAACTATTGCTAGTGTGGTTAGATGCCACAAATGTTATAGCAGTTATAGCACCACAGGATCTATAATGTTACCCTTTTGTAGCCATACTCACTTCTCTCCCATCTCCTGGAAACTACTAATCTGTTGTTTCTTTAATTTTGTCACTTCAAGAAAGTTATCTTGACTCAACCTGTTTCTCTGGAGATACATGCCGATTGTTTTGTTTCGATAGCTCGTTTCTTTTTATTGCTTTTTATTCCATCATATGAATATACCACTCTTTTTTTAACCCTTTATCTACTGAAAGACATCTGGGTTGTTTTCAGTTTTTGGCTGTTAGGAATGAAGCTGCTATGAATACTCTTGTACAGGTTTTTGTGTGAACATACATTTTTGTTTTCTGTAATAAATGCTCAGGAATGCAATTGCAGGGTTGTGTGGTGCTTGCATGCTTACTTTTTTAAGCAACTAACAGGCTTTTTTTTATAGCGGTATTGTTCCTCATCATTGTCAGCATTTGGTGTTGTTACTATTTTGTATTTTAGCCATTCATGTAAGTGTATATAGATATGTCATTGTGGCTTTAATTTGCATTTTGCTAAGGGCTAGTGAACTTGAACATCTTTTTGTGTAATATTTGCTGTCTGTATATCCTCTTTGGTGGAATGTCTTCATTTCTTTTATCCATTTTTCCAATCAAATTTTTTTTTTTAATTTGAGACGGAGTCTCACTCTGTTTCCCAGGCTGGAGTGCAGTGGTGTAATCTCTGCTCACTGCAACCTCTACCTCCTGGGCTCAAGTGATTCTTCTGCCTCAGCCTCCCGAGTAGCTGGGATTACAGGCGTGCACCACCTCGCCCAGCTAATTTTTGTATTTTTAGTAGAGACGCGGTTTCATCATGTTGGGTAGGCTGGTTTTGAACTCCTGACCTGAAATGATCCACCTGCCTCAGCCTCCCAAAGTGCTGGGATTACAGGCATGAGCCACTGCAGCCAGCAATTGGTTTGTTACTGTTGAGTTTTGAGAATATGTGTATATTAGAGATACCAATCCTTTGTTGGATATATGGTTTGCAAATATATTCTCCCTCTCAGTAGGCTTGTCTCTTCATCCCCTTAGCAGGGTCTTTCACAGATAAAAAGTTTTTATATAATTTTGTGAAGCCTAACCTATCATTTTTCATCGTAAGGATCTGTTGATGTCAAGTTTAAGGAGTCTGTCTAGTTGTAGATCCTGAAGATTTTCTCCTATGTTTTCCTTAAAAGTTTATAGTTTTATGTTTTACATTTGAGTCAGTGGTCCATTGTGAGTCAATTTCTGTATAGTGAATGAGACTTAGGTCAAGGTTTATTTTTCTGCCTATGGATGTTTATTTACTCCAGCATCGTTTGTTGAAAAGGCTATCTTTCTGCCTGAATTGCTTTTGCAGCTTTGTCAAAAATTGGTAACATGGGTCTATTTCTGGGTTCTCCATTGATGTATGTATCTGTCCTTCTGCCAGTACCACACTGTCTTGATTAGCTACTATATGAGTTGTGAAATTGGTTTAGACTGATTCTTCCTACTTTAGACTTCTTTCTCAAAATTGTTTTAGCTATTTCTGTTTCTTTGTCTTTTCGTATAGATTTTAGAATAATCGTTTCTGAATCCATAAACAATGTTGCTGAGATTCTGATAGGAATTGCTTAAATCAGTATATTGATTTGGGGAGAATTGACATCTTTTCTCTGTTGAGTCTTCCCATTTTCTCCATTTATCTAATCCCTCTATTTATTTAGATCTTTGCTTTCTTTCATTAGTTTTGTGTAGTTTTCAGCATTCAAGTATTATACATGTTATGTTAGATTTATACCTAACTTATACCTAAGTTTTAAATTTGTTAAAACAATTGTAAGTGCTCAAACTGTGTTTTGAAGGATGAATATAGTAAGCGAAGGATATTCCAGACAAGGGAAAAACAATGTGCAAAGAAACAGAGGCTTGAGAAAACTAGAGTATATAGTGCAGAGAGAGATAGAAGATTCAAACAATCAGTGAAGCCAGATTGTGGAGGGCCATCATTAGGAGTTTGGTGTTTTGTTTTGTTTTAAGAAGTGGAAAGCTATATGGGATATTGCAGTGGTGTGGCACAATCAGGTTTTGTTTTTATATGTGTTATGCTAGTGGTAGTAAGGATGTACTTGAGGAGGCAGAAACTTATAGCAGGGATACAAGGTAAGAGCCTACTGCAATAGTCCAAGTGAGAAATGATGAGATGTGAGGATAATAGTTCAGTTTTGTACATGTGCTTTGAATGTTTGCAATCTTTCTTCATGTCTTTTGGAAATCTACATGGAGTTGATCATTTATGAGGGTAGGAATCATGTTTGTCTTACTCAATACTTATCTCAGGCAGAAAGTACCTTGTTTAAACACAGGTGCTCAATAGGTAAGTATTGAGCCAATGAATGCATGAATTATATGTCTGTTAAGCAATTGGAAGTACAGGACTAGCCCAGAACATAGGAGTTTTGCCTAAAGATAAGTAGTAGGTGAGTTTTTGGTATATAAATTATTGATAATTTAACTGACAAAAAAAGATTAAATGATTCGGGGAGAATTTTAGAATTAAAAGACTAGAAGGCTGAAATTGGACCCCAGGGAGTATCAGTATATAAGGGATAAAGCAGAAAACTGAAAAGGACTGGTAGTTGTGGCGTGATAAGTAGGGTTACATAGATGCAAGCACAAAAGAAGAGATGCACAAAGGTCATGTTGGGATAATGATTGCAAAGAAGATTTAGATTTGGAGATTATGACTGTATTATTGTTCCCAAATAAGTTTTAGTATAGTAGCCTGTACAGATAGAAAATAATGTAAAAAATGTGATGGTGAAAGTAGGGAGAACATGACATAGCTTGGATCTAGGGAAGGTAAGGTTGTTTTTTTAGGGGAGTTTGGAACTGAGCATGTGACAAGGATGCTTGGTGGAACAGTCTCCCAGAAGAGTTGGGAAGGAAAAAGTTCAATAGAATGATGAATAGACTTTCCTTGTATGGTAACAGGAACATTGCTATAGGTAGATTTAAGGGAAGTTTGGGGGATTTTTGTTTTCTAATTGAAATTTGGTCAGTTTTTTTTTTAAACATTAGGGCTCTTTTTGGTATTAATACATCTATGTCCTTTCTCAAGGAGAGTTTTGAGATTGTTTTATTTGCTAATTTTATGTGAACTATTTTTAATTTACAAATTTTATGTAGATTCTGAAATAGAAGGAGGAAAATGGGACAAACTGAGAATAGACAGTGGGGAGTAGTGGGAGAAAGGTAGAAGGAATCCAGTTCATTTCAGGAGAAAGAAGTGAGGGGGCAGAATATAGACTAGTGGTGCCATCAGTCACTTTTCAGGTAGAGTTTGATATTGCAATTGAAGGTCTTTGTATTTCTTTTCTATTTATTTATTTTTTTGAGATAGATCTCACTCTCTTGCCCAGGCTGGAGTGCGGTGGTGCAATCATGGCTCACGGCAGCCTTAAACTCCTGGGCTCAAGTGATCCTCTTGCCTTAGCTTCCCAAGTAGCTAGGACCACAGGTGCGTGCCACCACACCTGGCTAATTTTTAAATTTTTTATAGAGATGGAGTCTTGCTATGTTGCCTAAGCTGGCCTTGACCTCCTGAGCTGAAGTAATCCTCCTGCCTTGGCCTCCAAAAGTGCGGGTATTATAGGCGTGGGCCACCTTGCCTGGCTCAGTCATTGTATTTCACCTGATTTTATTGACCTTACAATGTACACTTTAAAGTATTTTGCCTTTGCCCTTCTGGAGATGATCTTATTTGGATTATTAACTTAAAAATGTTTTAGTAGGCAATGTATTTGTTGAACTCTCATTACGAGTAATGCATATAAAACAAAAATATCATTTATTTCCACAGATAGTTTCTACGTTACATGGGGAGCTCGGCATAATTCAGGAGCAAGGGCAGCCCCAGGACAACCATTACCTCCACATGGAAAACCACTTGGAAAACTAAACTCTACTGATCTCAAGGATGTTATTAAAAAGGTATAATATGAATCATTAATTGGAACTGGGATTTGGTCATTATAGTCTTTTAAAAATATTTATTGTAAATATTTAGAGGGCATGAATATGATAGATTGTAGAATAGGCAAAGCTGGTTCTTATCTTTTGGAATTTAGTCCATTGTGGCGGATGTAACGAGATGTGCCTGTACTTACATAGATATGTGTAAAATTGCTAAGATACATTTTGGGCAAAGGTATGTTGGAAATATTAATGAGGTTTAATATTAATCAGGAAATTACTCTGGAGCAGTGGTTGTCAAACTTTAGAGAGCATTAGAGTCATGTAGAGATTAGAAAATATGCAGATTCCTGGGTCTCATCCTCTTAAGTGTCAGATTCATTAGGTGACCCAGGTAGTCCAGATGTCTAAGAGGCTCCCAGATGATGTTGATGCTGCTGGTCCACTGAAACTTTGAGTAGTGCTATCCTAGAGAGTTTCTTTCTCTTTTAAAGTTTAGTTATAATCAAGAAGAAGAAACAGTATTGCAAATGATTGCTTTAAAAATTAATATTTATATTGAATGTTAGTGTGGATTTTATATCAGGAAACATTTTTTCATGGTCTGGTAAACTGATTCGCCTGGAATGGATGTTGCAAAGTTTTGAAGCGTTGAAAGTTGTTAAATATGTAAAGTCTAATTTTCCTTTCTCCCTTCCTGCACTCTATCAGGTAGTCCCTGGCAGAGCATGGTACCTGTGTTAGCTTTTGATTCATTCCCAAGCAATGCGAAAGAACAAACATTCACAAAAGATTTTTTAGGCACTAGATTTCTAGAGTTTGGGGATTTTTTTCATGGTCTATGCACACTGATTCATGACAACTGATAAAATTTGAGCAATTTTAAAGTTTTATAATTAACCTGCTATCTCATGCTGCTTTTTATTAGTGTAGCAGTGACCAAAAGTAACTGATTTTCACGGACCCTTGAACTTGTTTGACATGAGTTTTTCCTTAGAGAATGCCAATATATTTATCCAGGATTACCAGACATATAAAATATTGAGTGTGAGATGATATGTAGTCACTTTACTTTTTTTCTTGAATGTATCAAAAATATAATATTTTAACCTAGGTAAGTAACATTTTTATTATGTAATTAGGGCTTATATTAATTATAAAATATTCTGATTTTTTTAAAAGGGTCTTATTCATTATGGACGAGATAACCAGAATTTAGACATTTTACTTTTCCACGAAGTCTTGGAGTATATGTCTAGGATAGATAGAGTGCTGAGTTTCCCTGGAGGTTCACTTCTATTAGCAGGACGCAGTGGTGTAGGTCGTCGGACCATCACTTCTTTAGTCAGTCACATGCATGGAGCGGTCCTGTTTTCTCCAAAGATTTCCAGAGGATATGAACTGAAGCAGTTCAAAAATGATCTCAAACATGTGAGTTGCCCACTCTCTTTTGCTTTATTTGGTTTTAAATTACATTGGTTATTACTCTAAACATCTTTAAAGACCTAAAGGTTTAAAGAACTAAAGTTTTAAAGAACATCTTTAAAGAACTAAAGTTCTCTGTTATACAATGTAGTCTTTATTTTAATTTAGATTATTTTTTCCATGATTATTAGAAAATTACATTTTTATCTATAGACAGGAAAGAGAATACTATTAGAATTTCTAGGAAGCAGATACTCCAGGTCATGGGATGTTAGACAGACATGAATGGTAAACAGAAGGATGGAATTTACATAGGAAATATATGAGTAGAGATAAAAATGATCTACTTGTTTTAATTTTAATGGCCTAGCTGTAAAATAATTAGTATTTACTTAGGGGTTGGATTTACTTTCCAAATTATGTGGCTAAAGTTTGATTTTTAATTATTAAAATGGAAATAAATGAATAAATAAACACATGATACTGGCATACTTTACATACAAATACAAAATGTTAATTTTTAACTGTACCAAAAATACTTAAAGGGCACTAAAAAATATTTTCTGATTTTGCAGGTGCTGCAACTTGCAGGAATTGAAGCACAACAGGTAGTTTTACTTCTTGAGGATTACCAGTTTGTACATCCTACATTTTTGGAGATGATCAATAGCCTTTTGTCTTCAGGCAAGTGAACAGTTTCTTTTCGAAGAAAATAAAAATAATGGCATAAAAATTATCCAAGTAAAATTATCTTGTGCAAAATTTATTTGTTTTGGAGAACTTTTGGCATAGTTCTTACTTAGGAGACATGGTGTTAAACATGCTCATGGCAGGAGAATTGAGAGACTCCATTTTTATAAAACCAATAATTTAAGACATATAAAAATTGTTAATATTGAGTATTGGTGAATATTCAGAAAAATTGACTTTTACATATACTTTTGCTGGGTTATTATCTGTTATAACCTTTGGGAAAATTATCATCTAGGACTTATTAAAAGCTGTGCCATACTCTTTGATGTACCATTCTATTATCTGTAGGAATTTAACCCACAGAAATAAAAGAAGTAGTATGTAAGAAAATAGGTAGTATAATTTATAATCACAAACATTTGATAGAACCTTCCTATCAGTAGTGGCATGGTTGTATAACTATATAATAGTATGGCCTTAGTATGGATATATGAATATACATATACTCCAGATATATGAAATTCCACATAATGCTACACATTAGTGCCCACATTTCATGTGTCTGGAATATAGTTGCATTCATTAACCTGGAAAAATGCACATTCTCCTTCTTCAGTTGGATATTACAAATCAAGTAATAAGTAATCTTGTTTGTTTGCTTGTTTGTTTATTTATTTATTTTGAGGCAGAGTCTTGCTCTGTCGCCAGGCTGGAGTGCAGTGACATGATCTCGGCTCACTGCAACCTCCCCCTCCCAGGTTCAAGTGATTCTCCTGCCTCAGCCTCCTGAGTAGCTGGGATTACAGGCATGCGCCACCATGCCTGGCTAATTTTTGTAATTTTAGTAGAAACAGGGTTTCACCATGTTGGCCAGGATGGTCTCGAACTCCTGACTTCAGGTGATCCTCCCGCCTTGGCCTCCCAAAGTGCTGGGATTACAGATGTGAGCCACCGCGTCTGGCCAGTAATCTTGTTTTTTAAAAGAAGAAATTAAAATTATTTTTAAGGAAAAAAGGAACTTATATGTACTTTATGCATCTGTATAATAGAAAAATACCACTTGAAAGAGGACTATCTTAATACAAATACTCTCTAGAAATTTATGGCTAAGTGGGCTCTCTATGTATCTGGAATTCTATGGATTGTAGAGATATTTATTGTTTTATGTTTTCAAGATTTCTATGGTTTGAAAATCATTACTTGCATTTTGCCTCTGAGATAAGTTCGAGTCTTGTTTTTCCTCTGAGATATAACATGAAGCACTGTCCATTTATATTCCTCAGCATTTCTCACCCCTAATTGCACGTTAGAATCACTAGGATAATTAAAAACAACAACAACAACAACAACTAAAAACGAATTCTTTGCTACTACCCTAAATCCATTGAATTAAAATCTCTGGGGTATGGTGGGAGTATCATTTGGCTATTGTGACTCCCTAATTGAGTCTCTGCAACCTGAACTAAGAACTGTTGCTACTCTTCTCCTGTGGCTCTGTCCCCAGCAAACTGTGGTACTCTCCTGCTGTCTGTGGTGTTACCTGACCTTTTTGGTGTCTTCCTGGGGAGGACACTTGCGAATTCCTATATTTCTTCCTTTTTTTTGAAGAATTTATGAAGTTTGTTAGAATATTTCTATGAGTAATCACTGTTAGTGATTGGGAGGAAGTAGCTTAGTTTTAAACTTGGATCAAGAGTGTTTTGTTATTTAAGTACAAAATAAACCTTAAAAACTAGTTTCAATTGTATGGGTGGTATCACTGTGGGGATCAAAGGACAAAGTTATATGAACTCATTTTCAACTCAGTTTTCAATAAATACTTGCTTTGTATCATGCTAGTGCTCTGAGGAGAAATTTTCTTCAGAATTTAACAGCTTTGGTTAAATAATAAGTAATATTTAAACATTAGTGCCCAGATGAGAAATACAGACCAGGATGCTCTAATTAGACAAGTGGTAGATCCATTTCTGTTAAAAAGTTGAGGGATAATGGCTTAGTGAAAGTAGTAGTACTTGAGTGGACTTAGAGCGTTCCATCTTTTGATATTTAAGGAATACATTCCTGCGTATTGCTTCAGTTGTCACTAGATGGAGACATTGTTCATTTTGGCTGATGAGACCAGAAACACAGATTTTTTTTTTTTTTTTTTGGAAAGCAAACATTCAGATAAGCACTAACCTAATAATCATTATTTTAAGACAAATTGGTCTTTATTATCAAGATATAATCGTAAAAATGAGAAGTCAAATCTTGGCATTTTATTTTCAGAGGAGGTATTCAGTAGGCTTGGTTTCTTTTTTCTATTTCAAATTCTTATTCCCTAATGTGTATAATATATAGATAGAGCTGACATTTTTTGCTAAATTTAAGGAATCAAAAATATCTTGGTATGTCTAAAATTTGAAGAAAAACATATACAGATTTATGTGTGCATGTGTTCAAGTATGTACAAGCTTGTGGGGTGGGGGTGGTCTGGTGCCTCTTAGTTGAACCTAAAGAAAAGTAGGGATCAGACTGTGATGGGCCTTATATGAATGCATTATTTTGGATGTGTAGCAAAGGACTTTTCACTTAATGTTATAGTTTCTTGTGAATTGTAAACATATTGGCTTAACAAATATTTATTAAATGCCTCTTATATGCAGGACCAAGTTTTAAATACTGTTACAATTTGTAGAAGTGAACAAGATGTGCTCCAGGCCCTCTATCTTTAAGTCTGTCTTTAAGACTAAAGTTGTAGTCTTAATCAACTTTGATTTGCCTTTCATCATTCTATTCATCATCATGATTTGGCCTGCATAGTAGCAGGCCATGGACCAGTTCTTCTGATTTCTAGTACAAGTTCATCTTTTCATTCATTCATTTATGTAAAACATATTTTTGTTCTAGATACTTAGGTAAGAATATTCTAGGGTTAAATGTTGAACATTGTCAAATATTTGTCCTCAGAAATTTAAAGTCTAATTGGAGATAAGAAGGAAGTAATTCATTATTAAATGATGTGATAAGTGCTAAAAAGTGATATATTTGAATAGTATGTGAAAGAGAAAGAGTGTTTAATCAGCATATGGGCAGTCAAGAAAGGCTTATGGGCATAGCAGTTAGGGAAGTAGCATCTTGAAGGATAAGAATTTATTGGGTATCAAGATAAGGGGCAGAGGATGACTGTAAGTATACATTCCAAGAAGAGAGAATATTTTGTTGTGTTTATGGAACACAAGTTTATTGAGGCTAGAGTACAAGGTCTTATGGAGGAAGATGGAAAAATAACCAGTAAAGGTAGACAGATGGCTAGTGTATGACTATTTTGAGTGGTTTGCTTAGGTGTTTGAATTTTATCAAATGAGGGCTATAGATAAAGATTTGTGAGTCAAGTAGAGGTAATAAAGTTTGTATATTTTTGGAAATAAAGATTGAATAAGAGCAGATTTTTAAATACAAAAATTGAAAAAGCATCATTTATTAAAATGTTTTCAATTAGTCTAATATTTTTCTGTAGGTGAAGTTCCTGGACTCTATACTCTTGAAGAATTAGAGCCCTTGCTGTTACCACTTAAGGATCAAGCTTCACAAGATGGTTTTTTTGGACCAGTCTTCAATTACTTCACATATAGTAAGTGACATAGAATTCATTAATCAAATCAAACTGGTTTGTATGAAATATATATCATTTAATTTGCCTTATTTTGTCATTAGATTGCAAAGGTATCTTAAATCTTTTTTCTGGAGCTTTTAGAAAGTAACACCTAACTAGTGGATAGGCTAACCTATAATAAAAACACCTGTATTAGTCTGTTTTTCCACTACTGATAAAGACTTACCTGACACTGAGCAATTTACAAAAGAAAGAGGTTTATTGGACTCACAGTTCCCACATGGCTGGGGAGGCCTCACAATCATGGTGGAAGGGAAGGAGGAGCAAGTCATATTTTACATGGATGGCAGCAAGCAAAGGAGGGCTTGTGCAGAAAAACTCCTGTTTTTAAAACCATGAGATCTCATGAGAGCCATTCACTATCATGAGAATAGCATGGGAAATACCTGCCCCGCTCCATGATTCAATCATGTCCCACCAGGTTCCTCCCGCAACACGTGGGGATTATGGGAGCTACAAAATGAGATTTGGGTAGGGACACAGAGCCAAACCATATCAATACCTTAGCAAAATTTTAGCAAACAGGAATGATGAAAGTATGGTAATGTTCTTTGGAATATTTACCTTGCCTCCTTTGTTTCATGTGGTGAAATTAGTGCTGCTTTAGTACCTCCTGTCTTAAAGAACTATTGAACCATTTAGATTGTGCCAGACTTCATAGTTTTAAAAAACTAGCCTTTTATTCTTATAGAAACAGTTTTATATGCACTGTAGAAATCCAAAATTGAAATAAGTAAAAAATGAGGCAATAATCACACCACCCAGACATTATGACACTTACATTTTTCATGGACATTTTTCTGAGTCTTTTTTCTTAACATGCACATACACAAATTTATAAGTGTTCTTTTAACTAAAATAAAAATCATAACATAATATTGTTTTATATTGTGCTCGTTTTAAGAAACAACTCCTACTATTTCATTTGAGAAAATTTTGATCTCTTTAACCCAGACCACGTATAGATTGCCTGATTGTATTATTATTCTTATATATTTCTTAGGAATTCAGCAAAACTTGCATATTGTCTTGATAATGGATTCTGCAAATTCAAACTTCATGATAAACTGTGAGAGTAATCCAGCTTTGCATAAGAAATGCCAGGTGTTGTGGATGGAGGGTTGGTCCAATAGCAGTATGAAGAAAGTAAGTTTAACAAATATTAAAAAATTTAAAAGCACATTTTATTTTTGAAGTTATTGATTTTCACAACTTCTCTTTGGTGTTGGTTATAACATCACCTTAATTATGGCACCAAACATCTCTTATGTTTGGAAATGTCTGTTTTCTTCGTACTCTTGCATCATAATTTAGTTGAATGTAGAATTTTAGATTGAGGATCATGTTCTTAATTAAGGACCCCAGAGACAACTATACTTTAAAATTTTATGGCTTTAATTAACTAGCCTATTACAGGCTGTCCTAGATTTTTAAAAAATCATAGCAAGTATTTAACAATTAAAGAATTTTTAAATCCTTAAAAAATATCATCACTATGCTGTGTGTTTGGAGGGGGATGAGTTAAATTGTGAACTCATAACACTATCTTAACTGGAAGCCTCTTATTTTACCTCATTTGAATAAGTAATAATTTCAACATTGTTTGTTTAAATGATATTCATATTCTCAATCACTAATTTCTTTATTTTTCTATAAGAGAAGTATAGTTTAATGCCTGCCATGATTCAGAGTAAGGAGTGTAATTGGAGATAAAAGACATGGTTTACAGATGAGGTAATATTTTAGTTACTGAAAGATATTTTAGCTTGAGGAGGCCACGTGAATAAGAGGCATTCATTAAGAAGTAATTATTGGGTGCTTAGTAAGTACCACTGTTCTATATATGTTGAGGACATAGCAGACGAAAAAAAACCAGAGAGAAATCCCTGCCCTCATGGTGTTTACATTCTTCTCAGGTATATCTGCGGGGAAAGCTTTCTAGGTGAAGATCCTGGGTAGAGAGCATGTCTGATGATTTTGAGGATCAGTAAGAGGCAACTTCACCTGGAGCAGAGTGATTGAGGGGAGAGTTGGTGAAGATGATGTCAGAGAACTAAGAGGAAACCAGTTAGGATGGGGCTTTGTAAGCTACTACACTCTATAGGATTTCAGCTTTTCCTGAGAACTAACTTACTTTTGGATGCTTTCGAACAGAAATATTCTGACTCATTTTTTAATGGGATTACTGTAGTTTCTGTGCTGAAAGTAGACTATAGAGAGCAATGGTTGGAGCAGTTACAAATGATTGCAGTAATCCAGAGAGAAAAGGATAGGTTGGGCTAAGGATGTAGTGGTAAGGTGGTGAGAAATGGTTGTATTCTGCATACATTTTGCAGTAGAAACAACAGGATTTGCTGACAGATTGTAATAAGGTGTAACAGAAAGTGAGGGGTCAATGATCCTTCTGAATATTTGGCTTGAGCAACTAGAAGGATGAAATGACTATCATTTGAGACAGAGGATACTGTGAAAAGAACATATTAAGATGAGACTATGAGGCCTTCAGTTTTAGATGTGTTAAATATGAGATACCAGACATTGAACTTATAAGTTTGGGAAGGCATTTGGAAATATAAGCCTGGAGCTCCAGGGGTCAGGCATACAGAAAAAAATTTGAGGAATTATCAGAGTGCAGGTGATATTTAAAGCTATAAGAATGAATGATATCACCAAGAGAGTAAGAATAAACAAAAGAGAGCAGCAATCCAAGACTGAACCCTAGGGCACTTCAACATTAAGAAACTGGAGAGATGAAGAGGAAGAACCAAAGGACACTGAGAAGCAGCTGCTAGGGAAATAAGAAGAAAACCAGACAAACATTATATTTTAAAAACCAAAAGAAGATAGCATGTCAAAGGAAGAAAGTATGATGAACAATGAAAGTAGATAAGGACTAGGAATTGATCATTGGGTTTAGCAATGTGGAAATCGTTGGTGACTTTGATGGAGCAGTTGCAGTTAGTAATGGAAAAAGCCGTATTGGAATACGTTTCAGAAAGAATGAGAAGATTGGAGACAATGAATGTGGGTACACTCTTTTAAGGAATTTTGTTTAAAGGATGAGAGAAATGGGTCAGTAACTGGAGGAAGGAGGGGTAAAAATAGTTTTGTTTTTTTTTCCAAGACAGAGTCTTGCTCTGTCGCCCAGGCTGGAGTGTGGTTGTGCAATCTCGGCTCACTGCAACTTCTGCCTCCTGGCTTCATGCGATTCTTCTGCCTCAGCCTCTCGAGTAGCTGAGATTACAGGTGCCTGCCACCATACCTGGCTAATTTTTGTATTTTTAGTAGAGATGGGTTTCACCATGTTGGCTAGGCTGGTCTCGAGCTCCTGACCTCAATTGATCCACCTGCCTCGGCCTCCCAAAGTGCTAGGATTATAGGCGTGAGCTACCGTGCCTGGGCCTGTTTTTTTTTTTTTTTTTTTAAAAAAAGATGGGACACACTATAGTATGTTCATATGCTGTTGAGAATGATTTAATAGGGAAGCAAAAAATATGTGATGCAAAACAGGGAAAAATTGCTAGAATAATATCATTGAGTAAGTGCACAGCAAATGGATCTAGTGTACAAATGGAAGAATTAAGGATCGGCATTTCCTATGAGAATGGAGGAATCATTTGTGATAACAGGAAAGAAAGCAGAATAGAGGGGGATAGATCCAGGTAGGTGGGCAGGTATGGTACTGGGAAGTTTGGGATACTCTTTTCTAATTGTTTCTATTTTCTTAGCGAAATAGGAAGATTATCCCCTGAGGGAAAGAATGAGGGAGGAGGCTTTGGAGGCTTAAAGAGACACAAGAAGACATGGAAAACAGTAGTTTGGGAGAGTGAAAGAGGGAAAGGATTAGGAGAATGGAGTATGATAGGATTCACTTGAGGTTAGTGATCATGGAGTTCAGTAGAGGCCAAACAACATAGTTGTGTGTTTTTTTCTCAAGCCATAGGTGCTTTGATGGATGCAGACCTTGAGTAGGTGGTGACTTAGATTTGATCAGAATTGGGACTTTGGTGCTTGAGTATGACAAAACAATTGAAGGCAAGAGAGTTGAGAATATTTATAAGAATATAATTATTTTGATTTACCATGGAATTTAAGTTGGTAAGGTGGTAAATTAGGATAGGAAGATGGTGAATGACAGTGAAGAGGTGGTCAAATTGGTAGATAGTAGGTTTCAGTGGAGTTTCAGGATTTTGATGTTGGAAGGGAGTAAGCTGGGAAGACAGGAATATAGTGATAGAAGAATGGGATGTTTGAAAGTGAGATTATGGAAGGATTTCACTTAGTGATAATTACAAAATCTCATGATTTGACTGTGTAGGTGAGTGGCTGACAAAAGGTTGGTGGCTAAGAGGAGAAGAGGCAACCAAGGAATTGAGACATGAGGGTATTAGAGGGATTATCTATAATGGATATTGAAATTGAAAATAATTAAGAAGGTAAGACAAGGATTGTGTTGGAAAGAGTGACAGTGAGCCAAGAGCTAAAATTATTTGTGGAATGAAGAAATGATTGGACTGGTAGATGCCTGCACCATGGAGGGTTAGTGGTTACTCTAGCCTGATAATATGAAAACTGAATTTAGGGAGCTTAGTGAGGATGATTTTGAATTAGTGATGAAGTACAAGAGGGCACTGCCTTGAACTTGCACTTGCAGGCCCAGTGGTTCAAGGACATGATATTGCATGGTGTGCTTGGGAAACAGAGAGTTCATGTGGCTGCTGCACAGGGTATGTGGAACATTGTAGTGGGAAATATCATTAAAAGCCAGATTGGGGACAGTTAAGGAGGGGAAGTGTTTAAGTGCCATAACTTTGAATTTTATTTAATAAGCAACTAGAAGCAATTGAAAGTTAGTGTGAAGGGGTTGATAGGATCCATCAGTTTTGGATATGTTAATGTATGAAAATGTTAATATATGTTATATATTATGTTATGAATATGTTAATATATGAAATATATGAGAATATGTAATAGATGAAAATAAAGCAAATTAATAGGCTTACTATGCCCATTCAACTCTTTAAAAAGTACCATTTTTACTTCAAGGGAAGGAACAGGGGCAAATCAGGCCAGCACACTTTGCTAATGTAGGATATTGTTTGAGGATAGACCATTTTAAAGAAAACGAGTTCCCAAAGAAACAAATTAACGTTGATTTAAAAATATAAGTTTAAAATATTCTCGTATAGGTTTAAGTGTTTTGTCAGAAATCAGTGAAGGCATACTCTCTGTCACAAGAATTATGGTACATTCGAACTCTGCATTAATGAAGACATCTTTTGGCTTACATTTTTTTTTCAGTCTGAGAAATTTAAAAAATGATTTTTTGACCTAATTACCAAGATCACTTGTGTTTTCTTCTTGCTGGTAACTTCAGCTCTATCAGGTGAAAGAAATTGAAGCTATTTGGCTTAATTTAAAATTTCAAAATTGTTACTTTAATTTTTTTTCAGGACACTAAACTTTCTTTTGTATATTCTAAAGTAGCATTCTTATAAGGTTATCTTTACTTTAATAATAATGATATCTGCTTATGAAACTGTATTTGCTTATTTACAGTAGTGGCAAAATTCCAGTCACAGTGAGAATATACTTTTTAGAATGATCAGTTATGAAATTATTGATTATAAAATTATTTTTATTTAATTTTAGTTTTTTTTTGAAAAAGCTAAGAATCCTTGCTACCCCACTATGTCATGAAGGCATTTTACTAGTTTTATGCCAAATAAAATATTTTTATTATTGTATGTTTTTAAATGACATTGTGATTATTTTCTAATTCAATCCAAATTGTAATTTCCTTTACTTCATATAGTCTCACCATTTCAAGTGAGCTTTTCCCAGTGTGCCATTGCAATCAGTTAATGGTTGATGTGTGTCAAAATGTTGTCTTGGAAATCATTTCTTCTAAAGATTTCTGTATTATTTTTGTCTCTTAGTCTGGAATGAATCCTAGAAGAAAAGTACAATCAATACTGACTTTTTTTGTATTAAAGGTTTTTAACTTATGATATGGGACTTATACTCTTTCATAGTGATATTCTTTTTATGTTTTAGATACCTGAAATGTTATTCAGTGAAACAGGTGGTGGAGAAAAATACAATGATAAAAAACGAAAAGAAGAAAAGAAAAAAAATTCAGGTAGTATTTTGATAAAATCAGTTTGATCTGGTTTTTATTTATGAAATAATTGCCGTTTTTAATGCTACAGATCCATTAAAGATTCATGATTATAAATTTGAATAATGCTAAGTGTAACAAAATTAGATTTCTTCTGATGCAAACAAAATTTTGAAGCCCTTTTTATTTTTAAATTAATGGTATGTCATTTAACCTAGAACCCAACAGAATATCTACTGTGTGAGTTCAAGAAGTTTAAAACTTATTTTTCTGACCTGAGTGATTTGAAGGACCTACTTAAATTGTTTAGAGTCTTTGGCAAGCAACCTAAACTTTTCATATTAGCTTATCACTTAGATATGGCACAGAACTCTATAATTTATATATGAAAAAGTTTTATGACATTCTTTGAATATGGGCTTAATCTTCTTAACTATAATATTCTCATTATTTTCTCTTCAAATTAATTTTGATTGTGGTCTTTATTTTTATACCATAGCTTATTAACTTATTTATTTAACCATCTAATAATCAAATATTTATTGAACTTGTTTTATACTGTACTGGGCTGGATATTAGAGATCACTTGGTAGCTCATAGTCCAGTGATAGTGAGAATTGTGTTATATATAAACATAAATTTCTGATATAGCAAGATAAGTGATAGTAGAACTTTCTATGAAATAATTGGAAAGTAAAACTTCAGACTAGCAGATATTATAGGAAATAGACATTGCCCAGACGGGCAGCTTGAGAAAGTCATTCTGGTTAGAGTGAGTAACATGGGAAAGGTTTGGAAAAGTGAAACAGGCATCTTATGAAACTATAAATAGCCTAAAGGGCTGAAACATAAGATGTATAAATAAGTACTAGATGAAGAGGGAGGAAAAGGTTGGCATGGTCAGGTAATGAAGAGCTTTCTGCATTATGCTAAGGAGTTTGGATTCTAACTTGCAGGTGATAGGGTATTATTGAGAGATTTAAAAGGAGATTTTACCAGAATTTCATTTTAGAAACAAATATCTTTATATATCCCTTTCTTCAGTTATTGGAAAATAGATTGGTAATAGGAGAAACCAAAAGCAATTACATCACTTTAGAAGTTTGTTGTAGTAATCTAAGAGAGACAAGATGAAGGCCTAAACCAAAGAAGAAGTAATAATAATGGAGGAAGGAATGGACTTGGTGGATATTAGGAGGTAATCTAAATGAGACTTGATGATTATGTAATGGCTGTGGCACACAAGAAGAAGAAAGAGTCGAGGATGTTTTTTGGGTTCTGTCTTGGAATATTCATTACAAATTGATTTCATTCACTGGGGCAGGGAATACAGATGCAAATTGTGTCGGTGAGAGGAATATAATGTGTTTGATCATGGATATATTGAATCTAGTGTGAACTTATTCTTAACTTTTTGGCTTTTGAAGTCTTGTTTCTCCCTGTATCAAATGGGAGTGGATAGGTATTTTGTGTATTGCTTTTCTGTTCAGCAGATTGTATTTAGCTCACTTTTGGATTACTGTACATGTGTTATATAGTCCCAATTAATTTATATGTTATGACAACATGTAGATTTATTTTTCTTGCAACAATAAAGATGTTCAGGGGAAATATATAACAATATATAGATGCTACTAAAACTAGAGAACTCAAAATTCCTAAGGAAGATGGGAGCTGTGAATAGTTGTCTAGGAATGCCTGTGCATCTTTAAGCAAAGATGCTATCTCATATTTATAACTATATAGCATGGAAGTATCTTGTATAAAATAACTATCATTAGGATATTTTCTCTTATTTTTAATGAATCATACATATAATAAGTTATTTTTATTTTCTATTTTTTTCTAGTTGATCCTGATTTTCTAAAATCATTTTTATTAATCCATGAATCTTGTAAAGCATATGGTGCTACACCAAGCCGATACATGACCTTTTTACATGTGTATTCTGCCATTAGTAGTAGCAAGAAAAAGGAATTATTAAAAAGACAAAGTCATTTGCAGGTATAGTATTGGTAATCTTGAATTATTTTATCTATATATAGGAAACAAGAGTTTTGTAAATCACAATGCTATGTTGCGGGTGGCATATATCTGGTATTAATAAATGTACTGTATTAAAAGCCTTGGAAAACAGTCTCACTTTCCTACCTATATTGCCCTGTAGGTTTTAGTGATGATTTGTATTTTTTTTAAAATTCAGTGGTTATTTCTTTTCTTCGCTGGTTGGCATTTATGGATTTTTGATAGCTTATGGTACTCTCTTTAAGAGTCTCTTTCACATGAAAACATTTTTAGAAATTAAGAAAACTCTGTTATTCAGCATAAGATGATACAGTGGACTTTGGGGACTTGGGGGTAAGAGTAGGGTGGGGAGGGATAAAAGGCAACAAATATGGTGCAGTGTATACTGCCCTGGTGATGGGTGCACCAGTATCTCACAATTCACCACTAAAGAACTTATGTAAGCAAATACCACCTGTACCCAATAACTAATGGCAAAATAAAATAAAATAATAATAAAGAAAAAAGAAAACCCTGTTATTAACTGAAACATAATATCCAAGATTATATTTTATAATAACCTTTAAAATTAAGATTATATTTTATAAAGTAATGTTTTCATCCATGTCACCTCACTTAGTACATTCTGAACAGTTTTCTTTCCGTATTTCTTTAACTATAAAGCTTTAACTTAAATGTGACATTAGAATGTCAGCCTCTGAAGTTGTTAGAGAACATTTCCTCTCTAAAGTTTTAGTTTCCCTTTGTTAGGGTAGTAAAGTAGGCTCCATCTTAATTGACATAATTATCTTAATCATTTCTAATGATTCACTTTCATTTATATTAAGGTACTAACTATACGGGCTTTGGGGAGGGTTAATTTCCTGATTTAGTTCTCTATGGTACTTTGGATAAATCACTTTAACTTACTGTTTTGCAGCTTAATTGGGTCAATGGTAGTTGTATGTGAGTGTATTAGATAAAATTCATATGGAAAAAACTTAGCTTAATACCTGTACTTTATGATGGGTGCTCAATAGTTATTAATTACATTCCTTTTTTGCCATTACTCTTTCCCCAAATCTTCTGATTTGTTAGGTGACAAAAACATGATAGAAGGTAAAGAATTTTTTTCATGTACATCCCTGGGTTCATTATTCTGCTGTTTGCACAGTAGGATGGGGTACCATAATGGCCAGGCCAGGGTGAAATGTCTACTCAAAATGCAGGTAAGGCAAGTGAATGACAGCCCACCAGAACCATATGTGAGAAAGTCTCTTACAAGAAAAATGAATATTAGACAGACAAAACCAAGTCATGTCTACTATAAAAAACAGTGACTCTTGAGTCCTTTTTCCCAATCAGTGAGACTAAAATTAGAAAAGGTTTAGTGAGTTACCCCTTGCTTGCTATTTTCTCTCCCATCTAATGTAATGGTAAAAAGTGTTTTTTATTAAGTTCAGTGTTTAAACTATCAAATATGTATTTATCTGTTTAGCTTTTCTATGATGCTTTTTTTTAAGTCTTATGGATTTATTTTAAAATGTTATATATAATGATAATTTTATTGATATTTATGGGGTACATGTGATATTTTGATTCATACAAGAATGTGTAATGATCAAAGGGTGATTAGTGATGTTGAACATTTTTTCATATACCGTTGGCCATTTGTGTGTCTTTTAAAAAAAAAAAATCTATTCAGATCCTTTGCCTGCTTTTTAATGGAATTCTTTGTTGTTGTTGTTCAGTTGTTTGAATTTCTTGTATAATCTACATATTAAGCCTCTTGTCAGATGAACAGTTTGCAAATATTTTCTCCCATTTAACAGGTTGTTTATTCACTCTGTTAATTGTTTCCTTTGCTGTGAAGAAGCTTTTTACTTTAATATAGTCTCATTTTTCTATTTTCATTTTTGTTGCCTATGCTTTTGAGGTCTTAACCATAAAATATTTGCCTAAACCAATGTCCTGGAGCATTTCCTCAATGTTTTATTCTAGAAGTTTTATAGTTCCAGGTCTTTTGTTTAAGTCTTTAATTCATTTTGAGTTGATTTTTTGTATATGATGACAGAAGGAGGTCTAGTTTCATTCTTTTGCATGTGGATATCCAATTTTCCCACCACCATTTAATGAAGAGGGTGTCCTTTTCCCAATATATACTTTGCTGAAAATCAGTGGACTATAAATACATGAATTTATTTCTGGGTTCTTTATTCTGTTCCATTGGTCTGTGTGTCTGTTTTATACAAATACTGTGCCGTTTTGGTTACTGTAGCTTTGTAGTATATTTTGGAGTCAGGTAGTGTGATGCCTCTAGCTTTGTTCTTTTTGCTCAGGATTGCTTTGGCTATTCAGGCTCTTTTGTGGTTTCAAACAAATTTTTGGATTTTTAAAAAAATTTCTGTGAAGAATGTAATTAGTATTTTCACAGATATTACATTGAATCTGTAGATTGCTCTGAGTAGTATGGCCATTTTAACAATACTAGTACTTCTTCTTCTTTTTTTTTTTTTTTTGAGTAGGAGTCTTGCTCTGTTGCCCAGGCTGGCATGTAATAGTGCGGTCTTGGCTCACTGCAGCCTCCAACTCCTGGGTTCAAGAGATTCTTATGCCTCAGCCTCCCGAGTAGCTGCGATACAGGCAGGTGCCACCATGCCTGGCTAATTTTTTATTTTCAGTAGAGATGGGGTTTCATCATGTTGGCCAGGCTGGTCTGGAACTCCTGACCTCAAGTGATCCACCCATCTCAGCCTCCCAAAGTGCTGGGATTAGAGGTGTGAGCCACTGCACCCAGCCACAACAATGCTAATACTTTTGATCCATGAGCATGAGATGTCTTTCCCTTTTTTTTTTTTTTTCCTATCTTTTTCAATTTCTTTCATTGGTATGCTGTGGTTTGCCTTGTAGAGGTCTTTCCTCTCCTTGGTTCACTTTATTCCTAGGTGTTATTTATTTTTTTGTAGCTGCTGTAAATAGGATTGCCTTCTTAATTTCTTTTTCGGTGAGTTCATTATTGATGTATAGAAACATTGCTGATTTTTCTGTGTTGATTTTGTATCCTGCAGCTTTACCGAATTTGCTTATTACTTCTAAGAGTTTTTTGGTGGAGTCTTTAGGTTTTTCTAGATATAAAATCATGCCCAGCTATAAAGAGGGACAATTTGACTTCCTCTTTTCCAATTTGGATGTCTTTTGTTTCTTTCTCTTGCCCGATTGATGTGGCTTGGACTTCTGGTACTATGTTGAATAGGAGTGGTGAAAGTGGGCATCCTTGTCTTGTTCAGTTCTTAGAAAAGGCTTCCAGCTGTTCCCCATTCAGTGTGATGTGGGCAGAGGGTTTGTCATTTTTGGACTTTATTATGTTGAGGTATGTTCCTCCAATGCCTAATTTTTTGAGAGTTCTTGCCTTGAAGTATGTTGAATTTTATCAGATGTGTTTTCTGTGTCTATTTTGATGATTATCTGGTTTTTGTCCTTTGTTCTGTTGATGTGATATATTATGTTAGCTGATTTGCACATGTGGAACCATTCTCTGCGATGCTTTAAAATTTGTTTTTCTTTAAAACCTCTGTGGGATCTTTAACTACATCTTAATGAGTATCATGTGAAATAAATTGTTATAATTAGCAATAAGAAAAAACCTAAGTCTACTTGCTACTGTTTTGTATATACACACTTAACATGTTTGCTTGATTCTTTTCTATAGGGCTTTATTTACTGTGTGTGTAAAATTCCTTTTTTAAAATATTGCCGATCAATATTTTATTGATGTAGGCTGGTGTATCTAAACTAAATGAAGCTAAAGCTCTTGTGGATGAACTGAACAGAAAAGCTGGAGAACAAAGTGTGTTACTTAAAACGAAGCAAGATGAAGCAGATGCTGCCCTTCAAATGATCACAGTGTCAATGCAGGTAATGTTTAGAGTGACCACAAAAATGAAAACAATATGGAGAGCATTTATGCCTGATAGTCAGTGAAAAATAACATTTTCACTTAGGTGGATTTAAAAAATATTGCTTATTCATACTGAGTCAGACTGATATTATGTCCTTAAGCTTTTGTGGAAGGGCATGGTATTTTCCTATATTGTTTAGACTGATCACTCGGTGCACTCAGTTGACCATGTGCAACTTATGTAAACTCTTTTTATATTTTAAATTGGCATGGATCTGTCTGTAACTGATTTTATTTCTTATACTCTGCCATTTAGGTTGGTATTTCCTTTTATTTTTCTTAGAATTCTCTCCTTCAGGCTTTGAGAGTTTTCCTTGCTTTTAATTTTCTCAAGATTTATGAAATGTTTTTATTCTTTCAGTACTTTCATGATGTTTTGTATTTTGATTATACATTTTTTGAGTGGTTGCCTTTGTTTTGTTGAACCCTTTCAAGGGAGATTTCTCTGAGTTCCTTCTTTGCCCCAGTATTTTATGTCTGCATGCTCTTTCAGGATGATCTTGTTCATTATATTGCTCTTACTACCAGCTACATATAACTGTTTTCAAATTCATCTTTTTTATTCTTTATCCTAACTCCTCTTATTAGCTTCAGACTTGCTCAATTACTGGCAGGGCATGGTCACTCATGCTGTAATCCTAGCTCTTTGGGAAGCCGAGTGGGAAGATTGCTTGAGCCCATGAGTTTAAGGACCAGCCTGGGCAATATAGTGAGACCTTATCTCTACAAAAAAAGTAAAAATTAGTTGAGTGTGGTGGCACGTGCCTATAGTCCCAGCTACTCAGGAGGCTGAGGTAGGAGGATTGCTTGAGTTTGAGAGGCAGAGGTTGCACAACGAGCTGAAATCATGCCACTGCTCTCCAGCCTGAGTGACAGAGCAAGACTCTCAAAAAAAAAAAATTCAATTTTATCTGTTAAACATGTCTTCTTGGAAGTCTCTCGGGCATTACAATTTGAAACAGGTTCAAAACTGAACTTATGAGTTTTCTTTCCTGTATTTCTTTCCTCAGATTATGGTACTATAATATACACTAATTATTTAAGACAGAACTTATAAATTATATTATACTGAGACTTTTGTTACCTTATCCCTTAATGTAATGAGTCATTAAATTCTGTCAATTTTATTTCCCTGACTATGCCTCAAATATGTTTCCCCATCTCCCTCTTGGTAACTGTTACCTTGTCAACTAGGCACTAATCTAATGCCTCTTTTATGAAAATTAACTTTAATATTCATCAGACTAATGTATATATCTCAATTAAAAAGTAAGTGGCATGAAAAATCAACAAAGTTATGGGAGTTAGGATTTCTTTTTTTTTTTTTGAGACGGAGTCTCGCTCTGTCGCCCAGGCCGGACTGCGGACTGCAGTGGCGCAATCTCGGCTCACTGCAAGCTCCGCTTCCCGGGTTCACGCCATTCTCCTGCCTCAGCCTCCCGAGTAGCTGGGACTGGGACTTAGGATTTCAAGAGTCACTTTTCAGTAATCATAAGGCAATCTGATATTACTGTAATATTAGGCATAGAGATCACTGGAATGTGGTCGGTTGATTTTACACAAAAATGCCAAATAAATGGGGAAAGATAGTCTTTTTGAAAAATGGTGCTGGATATTTAGATATCCAGGTAGAGAGAGAAAAAGCCCAGAACCTTTACCTTTTAACTTACACAAAAATTTACACAGTGTGGATGATGGATCTTAGTGTAGAACATGAAATTATAAAACTTAGAAGAAAACACAGGAGAACATCTTTATGACCTTGGTGAGGCAAAGACTTGTTTGATGTGATATCAAAATAGAAAAAGAAAATTGATAAATTGAATTTCATCAAAATGAAAACTTCTGCTCTTTGAAATAAATTCCGAAATGAAAAGGCAAGTCACAGACTGGGAGAAAATATTTACAAAACATATATTTGATAAAGAACTTCTATTCAGAATTTTAAAAATACTGCAACTCAATAATAGCAAAACAAAAATCCAGTTTAACATGAACAAAAGATTTGAGCAGGCCATTTATGAAAGAAGACATATAAAGGGACAGTAAACACATGAAAATATGCTTAATTTCATGATCATCAAGTAAGTGTGAGCTAAAGTCCCAGTGATATGCTGCTACATATCCACTAGAATGGGTAAAATAAAAAGACTGAAAACACCTCAGTCTAGTATGGCAAGGCCGTGTGGAGCATCTGGAACTCTTATAATTGCTGGAGGAAATGAATAATGCTACAGTTACTTTTCAAAAGTTTGACACAGTCTCATAAAGTTAAACATATCTTAGTACATCAGCCAGCAGTCCCACTTTCAGATTTTTAGCTGAGAGAAATGAAAACGTGATAAATCTTAGAAGCATTACACTTAAGCGAAAACAGCCAGACACGAAAGACTGTATACTGTATGATTCCTTTGTAAGAAATTATAGAAACAGCCAAACTATGATAGAAATCAAATTAGTGAGTACCTGACCTGGTAAGTAATACATCAGAAAATGTAAATATAATTTTTATACTGGAAAACTTTAACATATTTTTTTCTCAAGGTATTTTGGAACAAAATTAATATAAATATTTACTTAATGAAGACAGCCATTTTTATTGTTAAAAAATCTGTCAATTATTTTGACCTTAAAAGAGTTGTTTGAAATATCAAAAAGTAAACACTATGTAAAGGATAACACTGTTGATTACCATGTGTTTATAAAGGAAAATATTTGGTGTTTTGATTACCATGTGTTTATAAAGGAAAATATTCGGCATTATGTGTGCTTTGTGTACTCTCTGGCTAGTGACATTAGTAATACACATTGAGTATCTGCTACTTTTTTCTCTGCGCTGTTCTGAGAAGCGATATTTCTAAGACTGTAGCTAATTTTATTATCCAGCAAAGACCCAGGAGAATAACTGTGCATCTCATAAGTTAATAATTTTGCTTAATTATAAATAGCAGATATTTCTGTTTGGTATTTTGTAGAAAGCACTGTCTGAAGAGATAGCTTAAATACCAAGTTGTGTAACTTCTAAGGCTTGCAATTCTAGGTTAATGGCATAAAGAAAGTGCAAATTAAATGCTATACAAACTCAGAATAGAGATACCTTCCAATTGGAACAGGAGGTTAATAAAAGAAGGAATCCATGAGCTGTGCCTGGGCTGTTTAAGTGTTTAATATGTTTTATTATGATTGTTTAAGAAATTATGCATTTCAGGATCTGGGCATGGCAATACATGCCTTTAATGTCGGCTATTTGGGAAGCTGAAGTTGGGGGGACCCCTTGAGTCTGGGAGCCTAATTAACATAGTGAGACCCTGTCTCAAAAAGAAAAAAAGGAAAAAAAAACTCAGAATGACAAATATATACAAAGATGTTCAACCTCATCAATAATCAAGGAAATACAAATTAAAATCATACCTTGAAAATTGTGTATTTCTGCTGGGCGCAGTGGCTCACGCCAGTAATCCCAGCATTTTGGGAGGCTGAGGTGGGTGGGTCACAAGGTCAGGAGTTTGAGACCAGCCTGGCCAACATGGCGAAACCCCGTCTCTACTAAAACTATAAAAATTAGCTGGGCATGGTGGTGGGCACCTGTAATCCCAGCTACTTGTGAGGCTGAGGTAGGAGAATCACTTGAACCCAGGAGGTGGAGGTTGAAGTGAGCTGAGACTGTGCTCTTACACTCCAGCCTGGGCGACAAGAGCAAGACTCCATCTCAAAAAAAATTAAAAAGGAGAAAATTACGTTTTTCTATCTTGTTTAAATTTTATATAAAAAGCATTTATTGCTTTGCTAAGTAGAAAAAAATTAAAGCACTGAAACCTTTCTGATAGAAAATATGGAGTAAAATATATCATTGGTTTCCCAGGCATTTTGGAAACTCTCTTGTCATAGATTCAAAACTAGTATTAGGAAACATTTAATAGAAAATGTTATTTTGAAATGTTATATTTTGGATTTCATGCTTTTAAATATCAAGCATTAAAATTGATTGGAATGCCACTTAAATATTCTTATAGGATGCTAGTGAGCAAAAAACAGAACTTGAAAGACTGAAGCACAGAATAGCAGAAGAAGTTGTTAAAATTGAAGAAAGAAAAAATAAAATTGATGATGAATTAAAAGAAGTACAAGTAAGTTAAAAAACATTCTAAGATCCATTTACATTTTTGCTTACCAGTTATATGTAGGAATTTAAACATTATTTGTAACTCAAGTTGTTTTCTCATAGTATTATAAAATGTGGTTTTCAACCAAAATGTTACTTGTAAAAGAGAACAAGAAGGAAAGCCTTCCAGGAAAAGTATAAATTAATGGATGATAATTAAAAATAATCTTTGTTTTCCAAGAGCCATATGGTTTTGATTGCAGAGGGAAAAAATGTGTTAGATAAATTAAGATATACTGTTAAGCTCTTTTTCTCCAGTTGATTAAATTAGTCAGCTAGTCCTAGGATATAAAGAGCCTCTTGAAAATGACAAATTGTCTCAAAACAAGTTAGATTTTCCAAATTAGGTTATTGCAGTTGTGGTGGCAAGACGTCTTACTGTCTCAAGTTGAACATTTTTTACACCTTGTATGATTGAAAGCATTTTGATATTTTAAGAGAGAGAACATTAGTAACTATAGTCATTTTGCATAAATGACAATAAAACATAATTTTTCAAGAGTTAATGATTTAAAGAAATATATAATTTGAAGATAAAAATGGCCTTTTTCTCTTTTAGCCTTTAGTCAATGAAGCTAAACTAGCAGTTGGAAACATTAAGCCCGAATCACTTTCAGAAATTCGCTCACTACGCATGCCACCTGATGTAATTAGAGATATTCTTGAAGGAGTTTTAAGGTTGATGGGTATCTTTGATACATCTTGGGTGAGCATGAAAAGGTACATTTTTCAATTTGTGAAAAATATTATTTCGGCAATGAATGACACATTCTTTCGTAGTTTTAAATATTTCTTATATTGTTTTTCAAAATGCACTTCATCTAAATACATGGGTGTACATTTTGGCTTGAAATTTCAAGGTATTCTATGTAATCATATATCAAGATCTATATATTCCTTTCTGTATAAGTGATTGTTAAAAGTGTCAAAAGAGGAGAAAAGGAATACCTTAGAATGTTTAAGAAATTTCTCAATAAATATAATAATATATTTGGTCCATACATAGTATAGAGGACTGTGATTTCACCATGATTTACTGTTGAAGAAAATATAGTCACTATCCTTAAGAGTCTTGTACTACCGAGAGAGGGAAAAAGACAGAGACAGAAACAGAAAGAGGGAGACCCTTAAATAATAAAAGGGAGCTGCAAACTAGAAGAGAATAAGGTATTAACAAAATATGAAACCATGCAGGTTCAGGTTTCATGTTATAATAGTTGTGTTATGGTTTGTGCCGATATTAAGTTCCTTGTCAGTATTTAGGTTGATAGTAAAGAGTTCCTTTTATATCTGGAGATGGAGGAGGACATAGGTTGACAGAGCACTTTAAGTTACCTTAAAAGGAGTCAGACAATTTTCTTGCATATCCTAGAACATATGAGTACCTAATAGTTCACAAATAAGGATTTGAGTAGAACAAGATTGTGATTCTTTCATATCATTTCTTGTTCTAGTTTATTCACAGAACATTAGAAAGACTGTCCTACATCTCTCTAGAGTTTTTGTTGTCTACGAAAAGTCGATAATACAGCTGGGCACACCTGTAATCCCAGCACTTTGGGAGGCCAAGGCACTTTAGGCCAGGAGTTTGAGACCAGCCTGGGCCACATGGTTAAACCCCATCTCTACCAAAAATACAAAAATTAGCCTGGTGTAGTGGCACGCACCTGTGGTCCCAGCTACTTGGGAGGCTGAGCTGGGAGGATCGCTTGAGCCCAGGAGGTGGAGATTGCAGTGAGCTGAGATTGTACCACAGCACTCCTGCCTGGGTGACAGAGCGAGACTCTGTCTCAAATCAAACAAACAAAAATAAGGATAATACATTAGAAGCTTAAAGGTTTTAATACCATATTTTTGTTAACTAATGGATTAAAAGTATTGCATACACCATTTTGTTAAACTGATTTTTTTTCAGAAACAGCAAATTTTATTTAGCCTCATTTAAGGAAATATGCTTTAATTTTAGTTTCCTTGCAAAAAGAGGTGTAAGAGAAGACATAGCAACCTTTGATGCCCGAAATATTTCAAAGGAAATAAGAGAGAGTGTTGAAGAACTTCTTTTTAAAAATAAAGGCTCTTTTGATCCAAAGGTAATTTTTAAGTTATACTATAAATTTGTTTTTCCATACCATATAATATTCTGCTTTTTAAAATGTGGTGCTTTGTCATTGCCAACTGTTTAGATCACCTAAAAATGAAAATAAAAAATAAGCTTATAGGAATTACACTTGGGAAGCATTAACCATCAGAATCAGGTAAATTAGAATCTAGGTAGCAGGGGAGATTTATTATCTTGAGTGGTTTTAATAGTTTTGTATCTGCTGTTAATGTTCTCAGCTTTTTTTTTAAGCTTTCAACTGTCCTGGTATGCTTTTATTTTTTCTTGTGTACTTGTCAGATAACAACAGGTATCTGTTTTAGGACAGTGGTATCTAATTTCAGTGAACAATTTAGATTTCATGATTCTGGTATTTTTTTAGATCCCTTAATCAAAATGTTATGTACATCTTCTTTAACACCAACTACAATAGTTTTAAAGCTGCTCTTATCTAATAAAGATAAATCACATGTATAGAAGAAAAAGAATTGATGCTCAAACATTGTTGTGGATGACACATGTATTCATTAGAAATGTGACTAATAGAAAATTATGTTGATAAAACATCTTTAATTTAAAGATTCTGTGTGGTTCAAAAAATTTATTTTTAAGTGAAAATAGAGTTCATGTATATTTCTTTTAATCAAAATAGAAGTTCACTGTATTTTTATTTTAGCTATAAGCCAAAAAACTACTTTATTTGGGTCAAGTTAATAAGTGCCCAAATAAAGTGTGTTAGAATTAACTTTGCTTTCATTTGAAATTAAGTAAGGATGTTGAATCACTTCTCATGGATTTTTCAGAATGCTAAGCGTGCCAGTACTGCAGCTGCACCTTTGGCTGCCTGGGTGAAAGCCAATATTCAGTATTCCCATGTCTTGGAACGAATTCATCCTTTGGAAACTGAACAGGCAGGATTAGAATCGTAAGTGAAATATAAAATATAAACAATTCTAACCTTTATTTTCATCAGTTTGATGAGGTTTTAATAATTATTATTTTTATTTTTTCTCTATTTGTAAAATGGCAGTTGACAATACTAAAATATATGAATGAGTCAATTAAAGACAAATTTAAAAACAGATCAAAAAAAGAAAGCAATTAGAAGGAGAGAGAAGAACCAACTCACTTTTTCTTTACCATTATTATATTGTTGGAAGGCTAGGTAAAAGTTCCTTTAGAAGGAGCCAAAGTTTCATAAAGGAATTTTTTTTGTTGTTGTCGTTTTTTGTTTTTTGTTTTTGAGACACAGTTTCGCTCTTGTTGCCCAGGCTGGATTGCAGTGGTGTGATCTCGGCTCACCAAAACCTCCACCTCCCAGGTTCAAGCGATTCTCCTGTCTCAGCCTCCCGAGTAGCTGGGATTACAGGCATGTGCCACCACGCCCGGTTAATTTTGTTATTTTTAGTAGAGACTAAAATAACATGTTGGTCAGGCTGGTCTTGAACTCCTGACCTCAGGTGATTCACCTGCCTTGGCCTCCCAAAGTGCTGGGATTACAGGTGTGGACCACCACGCCTGGCCAAGGAATAATGTTAAAGTACGAAAGGAAAGCTTTGGAAATTTAAGACTTTTATGTTTATTTATTGATTTTTTTTTTTTTTTGAGACAGAGTCTTGCTCTGTCGCCAGGCTGGAGTGCAGTGGCGCGATCTCAGCTTACTTCAACCTCCGCCTCCCGGGTTCAAGTGATTCCCCTGCTTCAGCCTCCCAAGTAGCTGGGATTACAGGCATGTGCCACCACACCTGGCTAATTTTCTGTATTTTAGTAGAGAAGGGGTTTCACCATGTTGGCGAAGATGATCTCGATCTCCTGACCTAGTGATCCGCCCACCTCCGCCTCCCAAAGTGCTGGGATTACAGGCATAAGCCACCGTGCCTTGCTGGAAATTTAAGGCTTTTGTATTTGTTTTTACCTTCTAAGTTCTAGGAAATGCTTAGCATGTATTTTCCAAAACAGTGTGTGGGCAGGTAGGAGGAAGATTTAACCACTTACTATTAGAGCTGTGGTTCTAATTTGCTATCGTTACTAAGTCAGAAATATATTTTATCTCTTTTGTTCTAAATGCAGACCCAAAGGTTTATGTTCTTTTAAAAAAAAAAATTTCAATAGGTTTTTGGGGAACAAGTGGTGTTTGGTTACATGAATGAAATCTTTAGTGGTGATTTCAGAGATTTTGGTGCAGCCATCATCTGAGCAGTGTTACACTATACCCAATGTGTAGTCTTTTATCTCTTGCCACCCCCTGCCCTTTCCCGAGTCTCCAAAGTCCAATGCCTCATTCTTACGCCTTTGCGTCCTTATAGCTTAGCTCCTACGTGAGTGAGAACGTACAATGTTTGGTTTTCCATTCCTGAGATACTTTACTTAGAATATTAGTCTCCAATTCCATCCAGATTGTTGCAAATGCCATTATTTTGTTTCTTTTTGTGGCTGAGCAGTATTCCGTGGGGTATATATATACCACATTCTCTTTATCCACTGGCTGAATGATGGGCATTGGGTTGGTTCCATATTTTTGCCATTGCAATTTGTGCTGCTACAAACATGCGTGTGCAAGTGTCTTTTCCATATAATGCCTTCTTTTCCTCTGGGTAGATACCTAGTAGTAGAATTACTGGATCAAAGAGTAGATCTACTTTTAGTTCTTTAAGGAATCTCCACACTGTTTTCCACAGTGGTTGTACTGGTTTACATTCCTACCAAAAGTGTAAAAGTGTTCCCTTTTCACTGCATCCCTGCCAACATCTATACTTTTTTAATTTTTTTATTATGGCCATTCTTGCAAGAGTGAGGTGGTACTGGATTGTGGTTTTGATTTGCATTTCTCTGATAATTAATGATGTTGAGCATTTTTCCATATGCTTGTTGGCCATTTGTGTATCTTCTTTTGAGAATTGTCTATTCATGTTCTTAGCCCACTTTTTGATGGAGTCGTTTGTTTTTTTCTTGCTGAATTGTAAGAGTTTGTTGTAGATTCTGGATATTAGTCCTTTGTTGGATGTATAGATTGTGAAGATTTTCTCCTACTCTGTGGGTTGTCTGTTAACTCCGCTGATTATTTCTTTTGCTATGCAGAAGGATTTTAGTTTAATTAAGTCCCGTCTGTTTATCTTTGTATTTGTTGCATTTGCTTTTGGGTTCTTGGTCATGAAGTCTTTACCTAAGCCAATGTCTATAAGGGTATTTCTGATGTTATCTTCTAGAATGGTTATGGTTTCAGGTCTTAGATTTAAGTCTATGATCCATCTTGAGTTAATTTTTGTATAGGGTGAGAGACGAGGATCCAGTTTCATTCTTCTACGTGGGGCTTTCCGATTACCCCAGCACCATTGGTTGAATAGGGCATCCTTTCCCTACTCTATGTTTTTGTTTACTTTGTGAAAGATCAGTTGGCTGTAAGTATTTGGGTTTATTTCTGGATTTTCTCTTCTGTTCCATTGGTCTATGTGCCTATTTTTATACCAGTGCAATGCTGTTTTGGTGACTGTGGCCTTATAGTATAGTTTGAGGTTGGGTAATGTGATGCCTCCAGATTTGTTTGTTTGCTTCCTCTTGCTTTGGCTATGCAGGTTCTTTTTTGGTTCCATATGAATTTTAGGATTGTTTTTTCTACTTCTGTGAAGAATGATGGTGGTATTGTGATGGGAATCACATTGAGTTTGTAGATTGCTTTTGGCAGTATGGTCATTTTCACAATATCGATTCTGCCCATCTGTGAGCATGGGATATGTTTCCATTTGTTTGTATCATTTGTTTGTAACCATATCCTTGGTTAGGTGTATTCCTAAGTATTTTTTTTTTTTACAGCTACTGTAAAAGGAGCTGAGTTCTTGATTTGATTCTTAGTGTGGTTGCAGTTGGTGTATAGCAGAGCTACTGATTTGTGTACATGAATTTTATGTTCTGAAACTTTGCTGTATTCATTTACCAGTTCTAGGAGCTTTTTGGATGAGTCTTTAGGGGTTTCTAGGTATATAATAGTATCATCAGCAAACACTGGCAGTTTAGCTTCCGCTTTACCAATTTGGATGCCCTTTATTTCTTTCTCTTGTCTGATTGTTCTGGCTAGAACTTACAGTGCTATGTTGAATAGAAGTGGTGAAAGTGGGCATCCTTGTCTCTTGTTCCAGTTCTCATGGGGAATGCATTCCACTTTTCCCCATTCAGTATAATGTTGGCTGTGGGTTTGCCATAGATGGCTTTTATTACCTTAAGGTATGTCCCTTCTGTGCCAATTTTGCTGAAGATTTTAATCATAAAGGGACACTGGATTTTGTTAAATGCTTTTTCTGTGTCTATTGAGATGATTATGTGATATTTGTTTTTAATTCTGTTTATGTGGTGTATCACATTTATCGACTTAACGTATGTTAAACTTGCATCCCTGGTATGAAACCCAGTTGATCATGGTGGATTATCTTTTTGATATGCTATTGGATTTGGTTCACTAGTGTTTTGTGGAGGATTTTTGCATCTGTGTTCATCAGGGATATTGGTCTATAGTTTTCTTATTTTGTTATGTCCTTTCCTGGTTTTGATATTAGGGTGATACTGGCTTCATAGATTGATTTAGGGAGGATTCCCATCTTCTCTATGTTTTTGAATAGTGTCAATAGGATTGGTACCAATTCTTCTTTGAATGTCTTATAGAATTAAGCTGTGAATCCATCAAGATTTTAAAATTACCATTTCAATCCTGCTGTTTGTTATTGGTCTGTTAAGAGGTTCTATATCTTCCTGGTTTAATCTAGGCGGGTTGTATATTTCCAGAAATTTATCCATCTCCTCTGGGTTTTCTAGTTTATGTGCATAAAGGTGTTCATAGTAGCCTTGAATAATCTTTTGTATTTCTGTGGTGTCAGTTGTAACATCTCCCATTTCTTTCTAATTGAGCTAATTTGTATCTTCTCTCTTCTTTTCTTGGTTAATCTTGCAAATGGTCTGTCAATTTTATTTTTTCAAAGAATGAACTTTTTGTTTCATTTATCTTTTGTATTTTTTTTGTTTCAATTTCATTTAGTTCTGCTCTAATCTTCGTTATTTTTTTTTTCTGTTGGGTTTGGGTTTGGATTGTTCTTGTTTCTTCAGTTCCATGAGGTGTGACCTTAGATTGTCTATTTATACTCTTTCGTACTTTTTGATATAGGCATTTAATGCTATGAGCTTTCCTCTTGGCACCATCTTTGCTGTATTTTAGAGGTTTTGATAGGTTGTATTACTATTATAATTCAGTTCAAACAATTTTTCAACTTCCATTTTGATTTCATTGTTGACCCAACAATCATTCAGGAGCAGGTTATTTAATTTCCACATATTTGCATCGTTTTGAAGGTCCCTTTTGGAGTTGATTTCCAGTTTTATTCCACAGTGGTCTGAGAGAGTACTTGATATAATTTCGATTTTCTTAAATGTACTGAGACTTGTTTTGTGGCCTGTCATATGGTCTATTTTGGAGAATGTTCCATGTGCTGATGAATAGAATGTATATTCTGCTGTCATTGGCTAGAATGCTCTGTAAATATCTGTTAAGTCCATTTGTTGTAGGGTATAGTTTAAGTCCATTATTTCTTTGTTGACTTTCTGTCTTGATGACTTGTCTAGTGCTGTCAGTGGAGTATTAAAGTTTCTCACTATTATTGTGTTGATGTTTATCTCATTTCTTAGGTCTAGTAGTAATTGTTTCATAAATTTGGGACTGCCATTGTTAGGTGCATATATGTTTAGGATTGTGATATTTTCCTGTTGGACTAGTCCTTTTATCGTTATATAATGTCCCTCTTTGTCTTTTTTAATTGCTGTTGCTTTAAAGTTTGTTATGTCTGATATAAGAATAGCTACTCTTGCTTACTTTTGGTGTCCATTTGCATGGAATATGTTTTTCCACCCCTTTACCTTAAGTTTATGAGAGTCCTTATTGTGTCAGGTGAGTCTCTTTTAGACAGCAGAAACTTGGTTGGTGAATTCTTATCCATTCTGCCATTGTGTATCTTTTAAGTGGAGCATTTACGCCATTTACGTTCAGTGTTAGTATTGAGATGGGAGGTTTAGATCCATTGCTGATGAGCTGGTATAATATTTTGGGGGTGTTAAAGAACCTTGTTTTGTCATATTACCACAATTGTTTTTCTGGTTCCTTCTCATTTGGGTAGACTATGTCAGAGGGAAGATCTGGGATTCAAGTGCAGCTGATCAGATTCTTTTGTCTCATGGGGCGCTCCCTTGCTGTGATGGTCTTTCCCTTCCCCTAGGAATGGGTAGTTCTGAGATCTGAACTGTAGTGATTGTTTTTGCGCTTCTGGGTCTAGCTACCCAGCAGAGCTACTGGGCTCTGGGCTGGTGTTGGGGAGTGTCTGCACAGAGTCCTGTGATGTGATCTGTCTTCAGGTATCTTAGCTGTGGATACCAGCACCTGCTCCACTGGAGGTAGCAGGGGAATGAAGTGAACTCTGTGATGGTCATTGGTTGTGTTTTTGTTTAGTGTGCTGGTTTTGTGTTGGTTGGCCTCCAGCCAGGAGGTGGCCCTTTCAAGAGTGCATCAGCTGTGGTCCTATAGGGAGGATGCAAACTTGCCCTAGGGACACCTGGTTAACTCTTCAGGTTTCTCAGGCGGTGGGCAGGGCCTTAGAGCTTTCAAGATATTATGACCTTTGTTTTTGGCTACCAGGGTGGGTAGAGAAAGAACACCTGGTGGGGGCAGGGATAGATGTATCTGAGCTCAGCCTCTCCTTTGGTGGGGCTTGTTGTGGCTGCTGTGGGGGAGGGGGGTGTGGTTTCCAGTCCAATGTAATTATATTCCCAGGGGGATTATGGCTACCTCTGCTGAGTCATGCAGGTCACCCAGGGTAGTGGGGGAAAGCCAGCAGGCACAGGCCTCACCGGCCTCCTATGTAGTCTGCAGTCCTAAAGGCTGGTCTCACTCCCACCATGCCCCAACAGCACCAAATGTATTTCCAGGCAGCCAGTGACCAGGGCTGAGAACTTGCCCCAGACCATGAGCCTTCTGTTGAGAAAGCAAGCGGACTTAAGTTTTTTGGTATCTCAGGGAGCCTGCAGTGGTGACCCAGTTCCTTCAAAGGGTCTGTGGATTCTTTTGGCTTTCCTAGTATGTTCCTGCAGTAGTTCTTGCAGCGAAAGTTCACCATGTAAGTCTCCACATGCTCCTCTGTCTGTCTGAGTGGGAGCTGCAAGCTAGTCCTGCTTGCTATCTGTCATCTTAATCCTAATTGACTTATATTCTTGATTGTTCAATTTTTGACATTATCTATTAATTTCATACTGTGTATTAAAATTTATTCATCTTATTTCCTTTCTTGTATACTTTTTGCTTCTTAATATAAGAATTGCCTCCTTTTTTTAGTTGATTATATTTTTCTGTTTACGTATCACAAATTTATCCACAGTTTCTCTGTCAGAGCCCTGAAACATCTTCATTGATCTGTGTGTTCTATTTATTTTTTCTTAGCTTTAGGCCTGCTGCTTAAGGCTGTTGTCTTGGGGCTTCTCTTCAGCATTGTTCTAGAGATTACCTATTGTATTCTTTTATTATGAATTCCTGTCTTTCTCTTCCTTCCTTTAGTTCTTCAGGTTTCTAGAACACATCTTCCATGGTAGAAAGAGTATATGGGCTGGAACATATTTTGAGATTTGCATGTCTAAAAGTGTCTATAATATATTATTGTATGTGATCAATAATTGGGTTGTGTTTAAATACTAGACTAGAAATAGTTTTAGCTCACAATTTTGAAGGCCTTATTCTATTGCAGTAATTCTCAAAATTTGGTTCCTAGACCAGCAGCATCAGCATCACTTTGGAACTTGTTAAAAGTGCAGATTTTTAAACTCCACCCAAACTAACTGATTCTGATTCAGATATATTGAGGGGGAGGGGACAGTAAGCCCTCGCAATCTCTGTTTTGACAGGTAATTTTGGTGTACACTGAAGTTTGAGAACCCCTGCTGTACTCTCCTCTAGAGTTCAGTGTTGCTTTTAAAAAGTCTAATGCTACTTTGATTCCCAGTGTTTTGTATGTTACCCCATATTTTTAGGGAGTTAGGAAGCTTTCTTGACCTGTCTGATCCTTGGTTGTTAGTTATTAATCGTGAGTTTTAGAAGTCTGACTGGAAGCCCTGAGTGTGTGGCCTGGGCTCCTTGGCTGCTGAGCATCACTGTAAGGCGATCAAATATGGACTGGCCATTTTATGGCAACCCCTTAATATTTGTGGGTATTTTGAGAGGATAAGGTGTCAGTCATTTTACTGTAAAAGAATCTTTTTATCTTTCACCTAGGATGTGTGCATAGAGGTTGATGGAGATGAGTAAGGGCATAAGCTAGACTTGCAGCATTCTGGGTTTTATTAGCGGTAGTCAGCTCTCAATAGAGGATGGATTCTGAGGTCCAACTCTTTGTAATATCAATTATTAAATAATCTTCTGTATTTAGCTTTATTGTTACCTTCATAAGTATCTGTACATTTTCTGAACATTTTAGGATTCTGCTTTTTTTGGCTCCTCTTTGTATAGGCATTTTAGCTTTTGGCTTTTTGCGTTCCGGTATGTTAGTTATTACTTTTTAAAAGTTTATTGAACTTTGAGGGTGCAGGATGCTGAGGTGGGAAGATTGCTTAAGCCTAGGAGTTTGAGGCTGCAGTGGGCTCTGATCGTACCACTGCACTCTAGCCTGAGAAACAGAGTGAGACTCTGTCTCTTAAAAAAAGAAAGTTATTTTTGAAATTTCTCCTATTTCATACTTTCCTCTTTTGATCTCTGTGCATATGTATCTTTCTTATTTTCTTGGCTTCATTTTAGTAGGGTTCTAGAAGGGATAGAAGATAAATAAATATGTTTACCATTTTTATCCAGAAATTTACACGTATGAGTGTTTTTAAATATAAATTCCTAGAAGTGGTATAGTTGGGTCAGAGGAAACACTTCTAATTTTAGCGTTGCTTTTCAAATTAAATTCTAAGTAAAGGTGTTATAATACTGAGTTACTGACAGTTTTAATTGTCATATGATTACATTTTAAGGTGCTGCTGCTGCTTTATAGTTGATATCTAAAATAGAATGACTTGTATAATATTGAGTTATATTTTAGGAATCTGAAGAAAACTGAAGACAGAAAAAGGAAACTAGAGGAGCTTCTTAATTCTGTTGGTCAAAAGGTATCAGAACTCAAAGAAAAGTAAGTTATATTTTGAAGTGTATTTTGGATAATGCTGAGAGTGTTTACATTTGACATCTTGATTTCTTTCTTGTTTTGACTTTTAAGATTTAGACTCTTATGTCAGATGATGCTGTGGGACCCAGTAGTCTATAATCTTTTTAAGGGTACATTATTATGTTTAAAAATTCTATCCTTTTAACTTTTTTCTCTTTTGTGTTAAAAAAATTTCTTCATGCAAATGTTATACTCAAGTTAAGGATCATTTTTGAATATTAGTTTTAAAGCCTTTCATGTATCCCATTTAGTACAGGGTAGAAAATATTGGTATGGGAATTATAAATGTTAGAACATTTTCTTTTAAAAGTTGTGAAGATTGAAAAGCTGAATAATATCTGATTTAATACAGTGTATGTTGAAGTGATGTATCATACTTCCTTTTTTAATGGAAGCAAAACTAATTATTTTACCAAGAAATTATTCAGATTAAAACTATGAATTTTTTCTCTACGTTCAGGAAACAATTTTCTCTCTCTGTGTGTGTGTTTCTCTCTCCCCCTCTCTCTCTTCTTCAGTTTCTCTTTCTGTCTCACCAATATATACTTATAGAGAAATACTTATAGAAAAAAATCAAACCGAAAAGAAAACCCCAAACCAATAAACCCAGTGTTTTCAATATTCCTGAACAATTATGTTAGAAATATAGGAAATAATTCACATCATTTTTTCCAGGTATTATTAGAGAAGTATAAGAAAAATAAGTATAATGTATTATTTTCACTGTCATGTGCTCACAATCAGCACTTAATATTCAGCTAATTCTCAAATATTTATTGAATAATTAGCTTGTTATGGCAATGTTTTGACTTCATTTATTAGTCACTTGCTGTGTTAGGTGTTATACTGGGTAATTTATGTATTTATTTCTTTAATCCTTAAAACAATGATGAGAAGTAAATCTATTTCTATTTAGCAGATTAGGAAGGTTAAAATTATATAGTCTTTTTTGTCTGAAGTTGAGCAGCTAGTAAAATACTAAGCCATGTTAGATACTAGATTTGTCTAATTCCATAAAGTTTCTGCTCTTAACCATTGCACCATACTACCATTATTTTGGAAGGATTATTATAAGAACTTTTGGAATTAACTTTTAATTTTAAATAAAACAGAATGACATTTTTCATTATAGAGTCATTGTTGAGAATGAATTAATGTTGGTTACCATGCTGTTACTTATACTGATCCTTAATTAAGGTTTAATTGACTCTAGGCCATGAGTAACAGTCTTATTTTCTTATACATCAACAAAGAATAAAGGACTTGAAAAATAAGCATGATCTATCAATTTTTAAATTCTAATTTTACAAAATTAAAGAGATGGTTTCCATTTCTAATACAACTTATACAGAGATATGAGAGTTGATTTAATGCAACAAATATTCATTGCAAAACCATGTTCAAGGTGTAATATGAAATGTTGTGGTCAATAAAGATGCAGCTTTCCATTTCCAGGTTTTAGAACAGTGCTGTTTAATGGAACTTCATGAGATTATGGAAATGTTCTGTGCTCTGTGTTTATCCAGTATGGTAGCCAATAGTCATATGCAGTTACTGAGCACTTGCAATGTTTGTAATATGACTGAGGAATTGAATTTAAAATTTTATTTATCTTTAATAATTTAAATTTAAATAGCCGTAAAGTGGC